>NC_000004.12:116345623-116497138 GCF_000001405.40 Homo sapiens | reverse complement strand
TTAAGAATAGAATTTATTCTGCATAATGTTGAAAGAGACACAAGAAAACTAAGAGAAATCTGGATCTGAATTTAGGGAATCAAATAGCATTGGTGAAGTTGAAAAGAGAACTATAAAAGTTAGAAACCACTTACGAAAAAGCACATACAAACATGTTTTCTAACATCATTATTTATTTAATACTATATTGCAGTTTGTCAGTCAGTCTTGAGTGCTAACATTTTATTATATTTTCTAAGTTTTTTATTTTTTCTGTTGAAATCCTTAAAAGTTAATTTAATCATTAATAAACATTTCCAGTTTGTTTCTAAAAATACTTATATTAACTATTCAAAATGGCAGTGCTTTCTGGGAATCTCAGCGAGACTGTGTTTTTCTGACCAAATATTTTTCAGATCCACTCCAGTACATTCTTTTATCTTCTCTAATTGGACAGCAGTCTCTGATATGTAATTAGGCACCTAATTACATAATTATATAATAGCACGTGAAATAAAGCTTTGCCTGTTTATGTAAGTTTAGTTTGTAAGCACATTAACTATATTAATTGTTTTCATTCATGTTGTGCATATTACACTATTACATATTTATGATTTTTTGCATTACATCCTCCTATAATGGGCTTTTATAGGAATATTGCCTTGTTAGTTGTGAGAAGCAAATCATTTGAATTCGTATTCATTAAAATTCATGAGTATTAATCTGATTATTAGGAGTGATAACACTTAATATTTCTACAGCACTTTCTATGTGCCAGACATTTTAAAAATCATTTTATCTGTCTTTAGTTAATATTCACAACAACCATACAAGTTAGCTAATATTAATCTCCTCATTTTTAACATGAGAAAATTGGTGCTCAAAGAAACTAAATAATTTCACTCAGGTTTTTCAGTAGGTAAATGAAGTTAGAATACAAATTCACTGTGTCAGACTCAAGAATCTAGCCTCTTAACCAGTTCTCTGCCCTCTTATGTTGTAAAATGTATTCCCAAGACAATACAACAGAATTATATAGGAATACAATTTGCATTTTACAAGTTTTTAAATTATTTTAAAATGGAGAAAAATTGATATTTATGTATAATGAAGAAAACGTGGAGATTGTCTGTAGTATGAGAACCTTTGAATTAAGAAGTTTATGAAATCATGCTTACACATCTAGAACTTGAGTGTAGTTATCTGTGAACCAAGTATTCCAAGGACTGGTACTCTTTTGCTGGCTTTACCAGTATTTATAAGCCCAGAAACTGGTATTTTGTATAAATGATGTTTATTTATTCAACAAACATATACTGAATGGTTTATTTCGATTCAGAACTTTGATATAAATTTGAAAAAAGTTAAATACTAACATTCTTCAAAACATTTATAGATATATATGTTACAATACTGTGTTACCCAAATACTTGAAGTATATAGGAGAGAGAAAAGAGTGGATCAGCAGAATCTACATAGTCACAGTCACAATATGAGTGGGGAAAAAAATAAAAATAAAAGCAACAGCCAATGGAAAAGCCCAGGAGCCAATAACATCATGATGCAGTAATTTGTGTAATTTTTCTCGGATCCATTTCCTGTTCTTTGCTCTACTCTCTACGGCAGAGCACTGATGCTTGCGATGTCACAGGTGCTCTTGCTCACTGGTTCTGTTCCTGGTTTGCCAATGGTAAACACCGGAGATTAGAAAGTGATGAAGCCAGGATACTTCTTCCATTTTATGGTTTTTCATATCAGAGGTTATATCATCTATGGTTCAAGCTCCTGATTGACATCCCATCTTCAAAAGTTCCAGTTTCCATTTGAAAGCTTAGAATCCTGAGCTCTGGTAACATGAACTCATCCCTTTTTCTCTCCATTCATAGGCTTAGTAGCTATTTCCTTCTGTGATACTTAATTCTCTTCTGTTTGCCCTGAGATCACTTCCTTCCAACAACCTTGTATTGGTAGGTTTAAAAGCAAGGTTTATGTATGAGCTTACTCCAAGGCAAGGTATAGAGGAGAAAAATGGCAACAAAGAGGTTGGACAAAAGAAACCAAGAAAGAAGAGACAGAAAAACAGTTGGAAAACCAAGGATGTGGTGTGATTGAAACCAAGTGCAATTCATGGAGACAGCATTCATCAGTGTAAAGTATCTTCTGATGATAAAGCCTGAGAAATATGTATTGGGTTTGGAAATTGAGAGTTTACTGGTGTTGATATTAAAGAGACTTAAATTTGGGAAAGGAATTCGAGGAGAGATAAAGTTTAGATACTAGTATTGATATTAAAGAGAGTTAAATTTGGGAAAGGAATTTGAGGAGAGATAAAGTTTAGATGCCTAGTAAGTGAGGATTGGAGAGAGAGCTAATTAAAATAAATTGAGTGATTAAGTGAAGAAATTAATTAATAATCTAAGACAGAAAATTATCAACTCTTGTAATCTCTCCATAGCATTTCTCAGGTGCTTGGGTAAAGAAGATGAAAAGTTAAGTTGTCCAGATTATCTGCGTTGGATATATTACATAGAAGCACATAAGGGAGTGGCTACTAGAGATTCCAAAGAAAATAAACCATATGACCAGCTACAGATCTAGGATTGTAATGGGAGGGGACAAATAACATAGAGACTTTGAGGGTAGTACTTATTTATAATGGCCCTGTCTTCACTATGGTATGGGTTACATTAATGTCAATAGTTGAACGATGACTTCTGGGCTTAGTACTATGAAGAAATGTGGGAAAGAGTATAAGGAAGAAAACATAGGTGCAAACGGCCTGCCATTTGAGATGAGAACAAGGATCACAGGTATGTAAATCATTGCATTTAATTGGTGGGCCTAACTGCCCCAAGCTTTCAAACATGCTGCGATAAATATTGAATCCTACAGCATATTTTATACCTTATAATTGAAAATATTGATATTGACTTCTCTTATTCCTAGTTTTATTTCTTAAATTTTTGAAAACAGGTATGTATGTGTGTGTGCGTACTCAAGCCAATCTATTTCAGTCATTCAAAAGAATTTTCATTCCTTTCTATGTCAGAATTTAGAGAGGAAGTAATACATCTTGATGAGTTTGGTGCTCTCAAAAAGAATTTAAAATTCCAGAAAAGAATTGGAAAGTAGAAAGCAGTCAGCAAAAGTTTCTCTCTACTCAAACTTGAAGAGTTGTTTTGAGGTGTTTTATTAAGGTGGCCTGCTTCCTTACATATAGTACATATGTTTATAGAAAAATGTCTACAAAAGAAAAAAAATCATGCTGTCTTATAAACTCTTTAATTAAATATTAGATTCATAAAAATAAATATTAATTATTATTTTAAAACTGAACATTTTCCATTCTGGTTATATCCAAATTTAACCAACTTGGTTATGCTTTTCCACGTTTTTTCCAGATTAGGTCTCCTTTTGCCAGGGCCTGTTGTTTGTAGAGAATGCTAGTACTAGTCAAACTAAAATAAGTTAAGAAGTTACATCTGGAATGAAACCGTTACAATTCATTGCAAAAATATTTTCCGGACACATTTGGACTAAACACTTTTGATTACTTATGCCACTGCGTATTTCCTTTCACTAACTAATTTGAATAATTTCTTGTAGGCTCCGGTGGAATAAACATTTGGGGAATATTGTCACTATCCATTCCCGTAATTGTCAGCAGTGTCCTGAAGTTAGAACAGCTTCCAAAATATATCTCAAGCAAGAGTTGGAAGGAAAAATGTTATAATGTTCCAGAGTTTTACTGTAATGAGTTCCCGAAAACAAAACCAAGCACGAAGTGATGTTAATCTCCTATTACACATAACTTGCCAAAGGGCATGTGAAGCCTATGTTTGGCTTCTTAAGCCTGAACACAGTTGTAGATTCATCAGTTAGAAACAATTAGTTATATTTATCTTTAATGGAGTTCCTAAGCCCTTACCAACAGATGGAAGAACTAACTCAGGAATAAAGTCCAATTTGATATAAAAATGTAGAAGTTTTTTTTTTTTTTTTTTGAGATGGAGTCTCACTATGTTGCCCAGGCTGGAGTGCAGTGGCGCCATCTCGGCTCACTGCAAGCTCCACCTCCCGGGTTAACGCCATTCTCCTGCCTCAGCCTCCCGAGTAGCTGGGACTACAGGCGCCTGCCATGACGCCCGGCTAATTTTTTGTATTTTTAGTAGAGACGGGGTTTCACCATGTTAGCCAGGATGGTCTCAATCTCCTGACCTCGTGATCCACCCGCCTCGGCCTCCCAAAGTTCTGGGATTACAGGCGTGAGCCACCGTGCCCGGCCAAAAATATAAAAGTTTTAAAAACAATAGAGGAAACATCAAAATATAGAAAGATAGACAAAAAAATATTTTGGAAGATTTTACATTGGTTCTTTTTCTTAAATTACTGGGATTTTTTTTTTTTTTTTTTTTTTTTTAGATGGAGATTTGCTCTTGTTGCCCAGGCTGGAGTGCAGTGGTGCCATCTCGGCTCACGGCAACCTCTACCTCCTGAGTTCAAGCGATTCTCCTGTCTCAGCCTCCGGAGTAGCTGAGATTACAGGCATGCACCACCACACCTGGCTAACTTTGTATTTTTAGTAGGGACAGAGTTTCTCCATGTTGGTCAGGCTGGTCTCAAACTCCCGACCTCAGGAGATGCGCCCACCTCCGGCTCCAAAGTGCTGGGATTACAGGCATGAGCCCCCACGCCTGGCCTCATTAAATTTGTATGGGAATTTATATAAAGTGTCATTTTTATGCATGTTCTAGAAATGGCATAATCAAACCCAGGAAAGTAAAGAAAGAAAGGGAGGAGAAAAGAATGCAAAAAGAAATAGAAGAAACTAAATATTTATACTATTGTGATTTATACTCAATAATTCTGTCCACTCTATATTCGTCTGCAGCTTTCTGACAGTTGACTCATCTAGTCATTATTTTACAATATGAGAACATGTACTCATAGAGTATGAGTAACATAATGGAACATAATGGAATTATAATTCTAAATTTTCTTTTGGAATCTAATGAGAATGGCATCACAAGTTCCACAATGTTAGAAAAATGCTACACATGTTGTTGAGAAGTATGGCAATATGATATGGAGGAAGAATAAAAAAGTCATAAAACATAATCATCTGAACCAATTGGAGTTAAGTCAAGAGAAGAGCCACCATCATGTATATTATTTCATAAGAAAAATTTTTGTAAGACTAAGACCTTACACACCGTGGGACAAGCTTAAATAGTAAAGAGCCCAAAAGGCCAGAATCAGAGAAAAAGCCCACACCAGCTTTCCTGAATGAGTGGTGTGGGCAAATACATTGGTACTTGTAAGAAGTTCTTGAAGCTAACCCTGTCTAGCTCCTGGAGTGGGCCTGGCAAGTGGGCTATGTAAATTGTTGCTTCTTGTCACCAGTGTATCTGTGAATTTGCATCAAAACATCTAAAGATGATCCCAGGCTTACTGTTGGTTAGCAGGACCACAATTGGGAAGAAGAGATCAATAGATCAATATAGAGTGGAAAGAGTGAAAATAAGCCAAGTCCTGCCAGTATATCCTCCATCAAAGACACTAACCATGATGCTCGTCAGATAATAATGGCTGTTGCCCAATTTCTTCCTCCAAATTTTT
Organism: Homo sapiens; assembly: GCF_000001405.40. Lineage (NCBI taxonomy): Eukaryota > Metazoa > Chordata > Mammalia > Primates > Hominidae > Homo > Homo sapiens. The sequence goes on along the minus strand of NC_000004.12, from coordinate 116,491,540 downwards.
CTCAATTATTTTTCTCAAAAGTCAGATGGTCAAGAGGATTCTCTAAAATGCAGTGTCATTATTTGAGACCTTTAATTGTGATCTCCTCTGGCATGGTACCATCCCACTGAAAGAGAAAACAATGATTATTATTACAAAAACTGTAAAATGTCAAAATGTTTATTATTGTTGCCATTAATTTCCTGGCTGCAATGTATTACTTTGTTTCAATATTTGAAAAAGCTCAAATATCAACCAAGTGTTTAGGAGTTTGAACGTATCAATTTTAAATTTTCTCAGTAATTTTTAATTTAACTGCTGTTTCTTCCAGTTCACACTAGATGTATTTGGTAATTTCTAGGCAATGTCATTCCTGTTCTCCCCAGAATTGGTGAAATCAGCAACAGAACTATTCATTTCATTGTGAGTGAGAAAAGTCCACCAATCAATGTGAATGATCCTGAGAAAATTACTTAGAGTTGTAGATAACTACATTTAGCTATGCTCTGTTTTGTGAAGATATTATAGAGAGAAGAAAACACACATAAACATACTTATAAATACTTTTCCAAAGGGATAACAACTGGCAAATTGTTACATGAATTGAAAGAGGAAGCCACTTAGAAAAATGAAAAAACTATTTGGTGAAACGATGCTATTATGTTATCATTATATTAGAGTAGCTATCTTTTATGCTTTCTTTTTTATGTTAACACGTGGTAAATACAAAGCATGGCTTTTGCCATAAAAATGCAGATGTTTCAAATAAGAGAATAATTCCTTCTTTAAATTATTTTAAAGCAGTTGCCAGATTATACTGGATTTTCTAGCAGCTATTTTATAAGTATATTAAGCATGTATTTATAAGCATGTGCAATGGTTTCTCATTTAATTTGCACCAGCAAATTTCAACAAGTTAGCCAATTTAAGGTCTATAAACACATACGCAGCATTTCAGATTTCTTTATGCAGCCTTCGTTTTTCTCACACTATAAACCACTGCAGATAACACCAGTCATCTCAAAAACCTTTTCTATTTGAGGTAATTAACTCTTTAAAAATTAATAATGCTTTTATAATAAGAATTAGGCTGGACCCAGTATAATAGTTATGGTAATGTTAAACACTCTAACAGAGAGACACAAAGATATGTTAGTTAAAACAGAATTGAATTTCACTATTTGCTCAAGTAAAGTCCAAAAACTATTCCTGAGCAGCAGACAACATTTCTCCAGGTGGTGATTTGTAAAGCCAGATCCTTTCCATCTATGATTCAGCCATTCCTAGAAGGTTCTGCTTATCTGCACCTGGATAAAATTAAAGATTATAAAGATTTAGATGTGAGATGTTCTAATAAGCTTTACACCACGTTGGATTGAACATAGTCACTTGCCCTTGCATAATTTCCAGGAGCCTGGAAAATCCAGTTTGTATGACCAGGGAGAAGAATGGATTAGAGCAGCCACTAGTCAGTCTCTTCCAAGCAAGGTAAGTTACTGGAAAATATAAACTAATTTTAGTTTGGGGAAGTGTTAGAGTAGGCAGATAGCCAGAAGCAAGTAGGCAAGGGAGCCCCCTGGCTAAAGAAGTCCTGGAGATGCTGCCCACTGATAATCAATGCTGCTCACTGATAGCAAAAAGGACAATGGCTACACTGGTTACATCTAGCCTTGTGTTTAGGCTTCTCTGGCCCTGAAGGGGACTGATAAAGAACCTAGCCAAAGATAATTATGTTAGGGATTTTCTCCACTGATAAGCATGCACACTCCTCCAAAACCTCACCTTAGAGTAGCCTTTTGCTCATTATAAAGGTAAAAATACACCCCTGGGTGGAGCCTGTAAATGCTAATGAGACATGCGAAGTGTGTACTATAATGTGCACATGATAGTGACCAAAGGATCCTTCAAAAACATACTCGCAAGTAACACTCCCTCAGGCCCCTTCATAAATAATCATGTAAGATTCTTACAAAAAGAGTCCCCTAGCACTAGCTGCTGTTGGCTCATTCTTTCAAGCATCCTACTATGTCTCATCTTTCAGAGTCTACTGTCTCTTTAAATAAACATGGCTACTACTATTTTTTCCAGAAGGACCACCCCTGAGCTGTTTTCCAGCTGGACATGCCTGGACCTGTATTCCACTCCTCTCTAAAATGCACCTTATTTTTCTTCATTAAATTCTGTTACTTAACCCTTGCTATATGTCTCTTAGCTAAATTCGTTCTTCGAAGTTAGACAAGAATGGAGGATTCCTGCACTTCCTGGTAAAAGAAGTATTATGTTCCCCAAATTGTAGGAATAAGGAGGATTTTAGTATTTGTTAGGACACATTTCTCTTACCCACTTTTGCATGCACATTCTTGTTAGCCGATGATATTTATGAAATCTTCAGGGTATAAAATGATCAAACATCACGTTACTTTGCTCTACAAGAAAAAATATTGGGAAAGGCATCTGAAGGGTGCACTTGAGAAAAATGTTGAAGACAGCTGGGTTCTCAAAAGCTATGACAAAGTATTTTAAGATTTGGTTGAGTGTGTGATTTGTGTGTTTGATTTGTGTATTTGTGTTGAGTTGAGTGAAAAGCCATCCTGAGTGAAAAGAATAAAACCGGAAGAATTGCATTACCTGAGTTCACATTATACTATAGAGCTACAGTAAGTAAAACAGCATAGTGCTCACATAAAAAGGGACATAGACCAATGGAACACAATGGAAAATGCAGAAATAAATTCACACATCTACAGTGAACTCATTCTCAACAAAGGTGCCAAGAACATCCACTGGGAAACGTAGTCTCCTCAGTGAATGGTGCTGAGAAAACTAGATATCCATATGCAAAAGAATGAATCTAGACTCCTTTATCTTTACATATACAAAAATCAAAGTAAAATGGATTAAAGACTTAAATCTAACACCTAAAACTATGAAACTCCATGAAAGAAAACCTTGGTAAGCTCCCCAGGACATTGCACTGGGCACCAATTTCTTGAGCAATACTGCACAGGCACAGGCAACCAAAGGAAAAATGAACAAAAGGGATCACATTAAGTTAAAAACCTTTTGTACAGTAAAGGAAACAATCAACAAAATGAAGGGAATAAACCACAGATTGGAAGTAAATATTTGCCAACTATCCTTTAGATAAGGGATTAATAATAACCAGAATACATAATTATGTCAAACAACTCAAAAGGAAAAAAATCTTATAATCCAATTTAAAAGTGGGCTAAAGATGTGAATAGACATTTCTTAAAAGAAGACATACAAATTGGAAACAGGTATATGAAAAGATGCTCAATATCATTGAACAATAGAGAAATGCAAATCAAAACCACAATGAAATATCATCTAACCCCAGTTAAAATCTATTTTATCTAAAAGACAGGCAGTAACAAATTCTGGCAAGGATGTGGAAAAAAGTGAACCCTCATACAGTGTTACTGGGAATATAAATTAGTACAACCACTTTGGAGGACAGTATGGAGATTCCTCAGAAAAACTAGAAATAGAAGTAGCATATGATCCAGCAATCCCACTGCTAGGTATACACCCAAAACAAAAGAAGTCAGTATATAAAAGAGATATCTGTACTCCCATGTTTATTGCAATATTGTTCACAATAGCTGAGATTTTAATCAACCTAAGTTGGATGAATCAACAGATGAATGGATAAAGAAAATGTGGTTCATAATTACAATGAAGTATTAGTCAGCCATAAAAAGAATGAGATCCTGTCATTTGGAGCAACAAGGATAGAACCAGAGAATATTATGCTAAGTGATAAGGGCCAGGCACAGAAATACAAACTTTACATGTTCTCACTCATTTGTGGGAGTTAGAAATTGAACTCATGAAGATAGAGAGTAGAACGATGGTTACCAGAGACTGAGAAGGATAATGAGGAGGAAATTGGAAAGTGAGGATGTAAAATGGGTACAAAAATATAATTGAATTGAATGAATAAGGTCTAGTATTTTGTAGCACAGCAGGGTGATTACAGTCACCTATAATTCATTGTACATTTTAAAATACCTAAAACAGTATAAGTGGAATGTTTGCAACACAAAGAAATGATAAATGTTTGGAGACCCATTTACCCTGATTTACCTTATTTACAGTGAGCATTACACATTGTATACATGTATCAAAATATCTCAAATGCCCTATAAATACATATACTTTTAATGTACCCATAAACATTAAAAATTAATTTTTAAAGTTTAAGGAAGAAGTTATACCAGCCCTGAAAGATTTTTCATAAAGTAAAGGAGGCTGGGTGCACTGGCTCACGCCTGTAATCCCAGCACTTTGGGATGCCGACGTAGGAGAATTGCTTGAGGATGAGACAAGCCTGGGCAACAAAGTAAGACCCCATCTCTAGAAAAAAAATAAAAAATAAAAGAGCTGGGCATGGTAGTGCACACCTATGGTCCCAGCTACTTGAGAGGCTGAGGTAGGAGAATCACTTGAGTCTGGGAGGTCAAGGCTGCAGTGAGCTGTGATCACACCACTGTACTACAGCCTGGGTGACAGAGCAAGAGCCTGTCTCAAAAAACAAAACAAAACAAAACAAAAAACCCAAAAAACCTAAGTTGAAATAAAGGAAGAGCAAAGAGCAAATTCTTCCTTACATTCAGTGAGGCCAGCATTATTCTGATACCAAAGTAAGAATAAGTTTTTTTAAGTATATTACAAGGAAAGAAAACTATACCCCAATATTTCTCATGAACATCATATTACCAAATAAAATCCAGCAATATTGAAAAAGGATAATTGAGCAAGTGGATTTATCATAAGACTCTCAGATTAGTTTAACATTTCAATATCAATGTTAATTTACCATCTAAGAAAATAAAAGGAGCAAAGCCAGATGAGGATCTAAGTTTACACAGGAAAAGCAATTTAAAAAATGAAGATCTATATACGATAATGACTCAGCAAACTAGAAAAAGCAGGGAACCACTTTAACCTGATCAAAGGAGCTTGTGAAAGTCTATCTCTCATTTCACATGTAACGTTGAAGAATGTAATATTTTCCACTAATGTTCAACATATAGATTGGAAATGAATAATTAAAACTATCTTTATTTACTTGAAATATGGGTTATTGTAGAAAATCCTAAGGACTTTACAAAGCAATGATCAGATACAATAAGGCTGCTCGCCTGTCCTGGGATACAAAGTTAATGTTTTTGTGTTCTGATTCATTAACAACAAATATATGGGAGGTGAAAGAAAAAGTACTAATTAAAGTAGTATCAGAAAATCTGAAACAATTATGGTTACATTTAACAATATACATACAAAGAATATACACTAAAAATTACTAATTGCTGACAAAAAATTAAAAAATTAGTACTAAATCATAGATTAAAAGACATACTGTTTATATGCCAATTTTCCTGAAATTTGGTTATAGATTCATTACAAATCATTTCAAATTTGCATTTTAAGCTATAGTGATTAAGACACAGTGGTTTTACCATGAGTATGGAATAGAGTAGATTCCAAAACCAGCTGGCTATTTCTTAAATAAAACTTTATTGTAACACTGCCACAGCTGTTCGTTCAAGTATGCTTATGGCTGCTCTTATGCTAAAATGGCAGAGCTAACGTTGGAACAGAATAGAGAACCCAGAACGAAGCTGTACATCTAAAACTACAGCTATTTAATCTTTGACAAAGTTGACAAAAAAGAAGCAATGAGAAAAATACTCCCTACTCAATAAATGGGGCTGAGATAGATGGCTAGCCATACTCAGAAGAATGAAACTGCACTTCTACATTTTACCATATAGAAAAATTAACTCAAGATGGATTAAAGATTTAAATGTAAGACTTCAAACTATAAGAAAACTAGAAGAAACCCTAGGAAACATCATTCTGGACATCAGCCTTGTGAAAGAATTTATGACTAATTGTCAAAAGCATTTGCAACAAAAACAAAAATTTGACAACTGGGAGCTAATTAAACTAAAGAGCTTCTTCAGAGCAAAAGAAACTATCAACAGAGTAAACAGACAACATACAGAATGTCATAAAATATTTACAAAGTATGCAACAACCAAGGTTTAATATCCAGAATCTATAAAGGACTTAAACAATTGAACAAGCAAAAAGCAAATTACCCCATTAAAAAGTTGGCAAAAGACATGAACAGACAGTTCTCAAAAGAAAACATAGAATCAGGCAAACAAATATAATTACAAAAATGCTGAACATCACTAATCATCAGAGAAATAAAATTAAAACCACAAAGAGATACCATCTTACGCCATTCAGAGTGGCTGTTATTAAATGGTTAAAAAACAATAAATGCTGGTGAGACTGCAGAGAAAAGGGAATGCTGATACACTGTTGGTGGAAATGCAAATTAGTTCCGCCAGTGTGGAAAGCTATTTGAAGATTTCTCAAATAAATTAAAACAGAACTACCATTTGACCCAGCAATCCCATTACTGGGTATGTTACCAAAAGAAAACAAATTGTTCTAGCATAAAAAACCGTATGCTCTCATCTGTTCATCACAGTACCCCATATTCCAACTTATAAATGGGAATGGGAACTTATAAATGGGAGGTAAACTTTGGGTGTTCGTGCACTTAAAGATGGCAATAAAAGACACTAGGGACTACTAGAGGTGGGAGAGAGGGCGGGGGAGAGGATTGAAAAACTACCTATTGGGTACTATGCTCAGTACGTGGGTGATGGGATCAATCATACCCACCCCAAATCTCAACATTATGTAATATACCCACGTAACAAACCTGCACATATACCCCGAATCTAAAATAAGAGTTGAAATGATTTTTTAAAACCCAGCAGAGTTTAGTAGTTGCAATGGAGGACCATATGCTCCACATGATTGTATACACACACACACACACACACACACACACACACACGCACAAAATTATCTTGCCCTTTATGGAAATAATTTGCTGATCTCTGGTAATAAAGAGACCCACATATCTATCAATTATGTGTTCCAAAATATTCAATGGAAAAGGATTGTCTTTTAAACAATGGATTATGGTTGTTTATCCTAATATAAAAAAGAAAAAAAAAGAAGAATGAAAAAAGAGCTTTTGCTATTACCTACACTCCATGCAAAAATTAACTCCCAATAAACTGTTGACCTATATGCAAAGGACAACAATATAAAGCTCCTGGAAATGCAGAGAAAAAAATTACCTGTGATCTTTTGATATGTAAAGATTTCTTAGATGTAATAAAATTGCCTGAAACCTGAAATAAATTGATTAAAGTTTATCAAAATTACAATCTCCTATTTTCCAAAAGACACTATTATGTAAATGAATGGCAAGCCAGATTTGGAAATATATTCCCAATATTGATCTGACAAAGCACTTGTATCCAGAATATAGAAAAATTATTATAAATAAAAAACAAAGCAAGCAACTTGGTAAACTGGTCCAAGAAAGACATTAAAATGGCTGACAGCCACAAGAGATTAATAGTGCCCTTAGTATCTGAGAAATGCAAATTAGAATCATAATCAGTTATCATGATATCCCACCAAAATGACTAAAATTAAGAACTTGACAGTACCAATAATGTTTTTGAGGATGTGGAATAATGAGTTTTTTCATATATTGTTAAGGAGAACATTAAATGGTACAACTCTAGAATGCGTTTGACATTCTCATAAATTAAACATACATTTATCATTCTGTAAAACTCTACTCTGAGGCATTTACTAAGGAAAAATAAAAAACACGTGACCACACACACACACAAAAACCTTTTACATAACTATTTATAGCATATATAATATATATATATATTTATAACATATATATGTAAGTGTGTGATTTTTGAGACAAAGTCTCACTCTGTCACCAGGCTGGAGTGCAGTGGTGCTATCTTGGCTCACAAAAACCTTCGACTCCCTGGTTCAAGCGATTCTCCTGCCTCAGCCTCCCCGGTAGCTGGGATTACAGGCATATGCCACCACGCCCAGTTAATTTTTGTATTTTTAGTAGAGACGGGGTTTCACCATGTTGGCCAGGATAGTCTTGATCTCCTGACCTCGTGATCCACCCTCCTCGGCCTCCCAAAACATATATATTTTTTAATGATCCCAAACTAGAATAAGTTGTGGTATATCTATACAACAGTATGCTATTTAGCAACAACAAAAAACAAACTTCTGAAATACCAGGTGATATAAATTGCATTTTTGTCACTATATAATTTATAAGTTCCATGTTTGTGTAATTTTAGAAAATATAAATCTAATATATAATGATAGAACCAAATCTATGGTTGCCTGGGGTGGGGAGACAGTAACATTAACTAGGAAGTGGCAGAGAGGAATTTTTTTCTTTTTTTTTTTTTTGAGACAGTCTCGCTCTGTCGCCCAGGCTGGAGTGCAGTGGCGCCATCTCCGCTCACTGAAAGCTCCGCCTCCCGGGTTCACGCCATTCTCCTGCCTCAGCCTTGCGAGTAGCTGGGACTACAGGGGCCCGCCACCATGCCCGGCTAATTTTTTGTGTTTTTTAGTAGAGACGGGGGTTTCACGTGTTATCCAGGATGGTCTCGATCTTCTGACCTCGTGATTTAACAAATTATAGAAATAATTTGAAGCCTGAAGTAATACCATCTTCCTTCAGAAGGGATTTATATTTTTTCAGGAATCTAGAACAAAGTCTGCAATCATGCATCACATCAATCATAATTCAGAAATTAAGAGACTGAAATATGATTCCTTGTCAGGCCATAGATTTTTCTGATTCACACTTGCTCCTGAATGTAGCACTTTGGGTCCATGGCGGCTTTACGATGTTCCACCCTTTGGCAGTTTCTACACTCAGGTTTTTACCCCTACTCTCACACTCTGCTCAGCTGTGCAGCCTGTTGGCAACTTTTTCCAAAATAGATAGATGCCTTAAAGGATGTATGATCCTAAAGGCTAAACTTACGTTTACCTCTTTTAATTTCCTTCCTCTCCTGGATCATAGAACCATAAATCTGCACTATATCATTAGTTATTTTATGCCTTTAACCATCTTTTTAAATATATGTATGCTTTTTCAACTCTCTTGGTCTCTCTTTCTTCAAAGTTTTTCCCTCAATTTCCCACTGTTATTGGTAGTTCAACCAGTAACCTATCTCTTCGCATTTAAGAAAGTGGCTTTCTTCTTGTACCGCCACATCCATGAAAGGAGAAAAGCCCTCAGGAAAAAGATGGGTAAATGGGTAGTTCACCAACTGTATTAGTTTCCTAGGACTGCCATAATCATGTACTATAAATTGAGTAGGTTAAAACAAAGAGATTTATTCTCTCTAAGTTCTGAAAGTCAGAATCTGGAAGTTAACCTACCAGCACAGCCACGTTATTTCTAAAGGTCTATGAAATAATTCTTCTTTGCCTCTTCAGCTTCTGGTAGTCCCAGGAGTTCTTTGGCTTATGACTGCATAACTCCAATCTCTGCCTCTGTGTTCACATGGTCTACTTTTCACTGTGAATTGTTTTCCTGTATCTTCTCCTTTTCTCATAAAGGCAATGGTATGACCTCATCTTAAGTAGTGACATCTGCAGAGACCCTGTTTCCAAAGTCTGAAGTTCTGGTGGATGTGAATTTTGGGAGACACTATTCAATGTATTAAACTTAGTCTGCTTCTTTTCTTACCAGGATTCTATCCCCTTCTGGTTTTGTCTAATTTGGTTGTTCTCTAGTGCCTTAAAATAGTTGCTTTTATATTGATTCCATTTTTCATTATTGTTATTAAGTGAATGGTTTGTCTAATACAAGCTACTTTGTCATGAATAGAACCAGACTTCCCCCTCTAGTTTTCCTTTTCTCAATACTCTTGAGAGCAGCCTGCAGTTGTTGTCATCCATCAGCTTTATTCACTAGATTATGTTGTACAATGTTATATGGATAATGAAAACTCAAATAGTATTATATTAAGTGCATCCATGCATATATCTACTACTAAATTAAAATATTATATTGCAATGGTATGCTTGTAACTTTGCTACAAAGCTGAGTGTGTTTTTGTATACACAATGCCTGATTCAGTATGTGATGTATTCTAACAACTCAAAAAATATTTATTTAATAAACAAGTTTATAATTGAAAGAATATGGAGGAAAGGAAAGAATTGACATGATCATTATATTACAAAGACATAAGGAACCTACTCAGATGTATAAAAGCAAGAAGAAAGCAAAAGAATGAAGTTTGAGTCTGATTTTGGTATAACTAATCATTTTAATGAAAATAGATAAATTTAATAAACAGAAACTAATGTACCAGATAACATGGTAATTACATTATATATAGTATATTTTAAATTTCAAATTAACTTTGTGAGATATCATTCTTAGTTCTTTTATCTGTTGATGAACTGACTCCTGGCCAGACCATTCTACTTCAGGTGACTCAGCTAACTGCTACTTGGAACTCTAACTGTAGAAACTGTACTCAGTTTTCTCCTGTGGGTTTTGATTTAATTTTTAAATAAGTTAAATTTTCTCAACCATTTTAACATATAAAACCTTTCGGGGATCAATTGATTCAGTAAATTAAATATAACCTAATTTGCACGAGAATAATCGGGCTCAGGGTTAGACTTGCAAATGATGTTCTTTTTGGCTTTTATGAACAAGTCTGAGAGGTTTGCAATTTAGGTTTACTAAATTGGTCTCTTCACTAAATGTAAAAGAGAGACAGAATAAACATGTCAAAAGCTGAGCTTAGATGGAGAGCTGATCTGACAGATGTCAGAGTAGCGATTAAGAGAACATGTCAAAATGAAAACAACAGTCAAGCCGTTAATCACCTACAGCAAGAGGATAAACAGAGAAAACACCAACTCCCCCAGTGTTCCATTTTCCCCATGGAAAGGTGCCAAGTGAGTGTCAACTGTATCACAACAGATGAGAGGTGCATTGTCTCACAGCTGAGGGAGTCCTGTATAAAAGACTCCTGATATTTTATGGACCGAGGAGTTAGAGGGAGAGTAAAGGTGAAGGGTTAGGAGTGGAAAAGTAATGAGAACTAAGTTCAGGTGAAGAAAAGTATTTCCAGGCTCTCTCCTTCCCCTCTATAAGTAGGTCTCAGTAGAGGTGGCTAAGGAAGTCCTCAGGGAGAGCCCCTTATAAAGAAGACTCCAGTGGAGGCAACTGGTCTAGAAATGCAGCAGTGAGTAAAGCATGGCCAGCAAGGAGGCCAGAGTCTTGGCTGCAACTACCTTCAGAGGCTGCAGTGCACTCTTTGTGCACCACACTTGGTGTGGGGAAGGTAGTTTCCTCTGTGAGGCCTGAGAGGTACAGTCTTTGTAATTGCCTATCATCAGGACAAATGTAACACACACAGGATTTCGGCCTAGAGTTGGACTTCTTAGTTTTGTCATCACTTAAAGAGAAATAATCTACAACTATGTTAAATTGTTGTTTCTGCTGTAGGAAATATATTCTTTAATAAAGGCTATTTGTTACACATATAGAATACCAACTAAAATAGTCCAGCTGTTATTCTCATATTTTGGGTTGAAAGACTAGTAATGCACATGCAATTTTCCTGGAGTAATGGAAGAGCTACATGGCCCTGCAGTGAAAAGTGCTTGAAAAATTTTACATAGAGCCATAATCACAATGCAGAACTCTGCAAACATTAGAATTATAGAATGATACACACATTTTAGATAAGATCTCAGTAAACATTCTATTTTTATTTCTGACATTCTATTGGTAATAATGACTTGTCAGTTTTGTTGAAGACAGTGAAAATAGCCTCAAATGAATTCTTATGTGGTAAAGTGTTCAATTGTCCTCTGAGTCATGCTCTTTGACCATTAATTACATACATATATATATGAAAACTTAAACATTTAAGATTCATGTTTTTTAGGTTTAACAAATACTAGCCTACCACGATGCCGTTACATATTCAGTAATACACACAAAATTTAACAAAGAATTCTTTTGCTTCCAGTAAAGGGATTACTCACATTTTTTTACTAGTAAATCCACCATTGGATAACTTTCTGTTGAGAAATCTGGGGCAATATCTTCCACCTCCAGTTTCTCAATTCTCCCCAATTTGTGTTTATGAAAAAGTTTATAAATATTGACCAAGGATCTCCCAGGTATCCCAAGCTCACCCATCAACCATCAATCCTAGTCATTACTTTCAGAATGTACTTCTTTATATAGTTGAAAATGCAATGGCTTTGTTATTTGTGAAACAATGAAAAAGGGGTGTCCAAGTGGATGCTAACCAAACTTGTACATATTTTAGAAGACTTTCAGAAAGCGGCATCTAGAAACAAAATGCCATAGAAGAAGCTTTATTAAAATGGCTTTACAATGCATTCTAATACTGAATCTTGTGACCACAGAGGTATATTAATTTTATTTATTAATACTTAACTCTATTGAAGATATCTGTGGCAGAAGGGTTTAAATTTGTGTGAACTATTTTTGGGGCCACTGAAAAATACTTGGGGTGTGTGTGTGTGCATGCGTGTGTGTGTGTGTTTGTGTGTTTAACTTTATCAAACTATTAGAATAACTCCAGGAAACCGGGACATTTACATAATAGAAAAATAAAATATTTTACTGAAGATTCCTCAGAGTATCCAGTTTAATTCTACTTTATTCCATTCATTTTTGTTTATGAATTAATTGTTCAACTTTCCTTATTCCGTATACAATTGGATCATGAATTAGTGATCCACAAGAGTTTAAGTAGTTATTTAGAAAACCAAAACACTTCTTCCCCCTCATTACCTTCATCACTCAATGATTTCTGTTTCATCATTTGGCGCTATGGTTTGAACGTCCTTTCCAAAACTCATGTTGAAATTTAACTGCCATTGTAATGGTATTGATGGGAGCGGTAGCTCATCTGGAGCAGCCTCTAAAATGTGCCAACTGCCGCAGGGGAGTCGCCACCAGGGCTGTGTGCTCCACGGGTCGGGCAGAAGACAGGAACAGGTGGGAGCCCCACCACCTTCCAAGTTGCTGGGGCTGGAGCCCCGGCCTCCAGGATATAGCTGCAGCCGCCAGGCCCTGGCAGTAGACCCAGGCATCCCTGCGCTCTTGCGGCTGGGAAGAGCCCTGCCCCTGCAGGCTTGGAAGTGCCTGTTCCCACTGCCTGACCTCTCCCCACTCCTGATGCCCACTCTGATTTTGTAGCAAAGTTGAGGCCAAGCTTGGGTGCTCTCATGACCCTTCTCGGTGTGCGCGTGCTCCAGGCATTGCTGACACGTCAGTCCCCCGCTGCCTTGGCCCCTCCAGACTTTGAGTGCCGATGAGCACAAGAGGGAGGCCAAGGAGAGGCTTAGGGCAGTTCAGCGTGGTCCATGAGGCACTTCTTGGCACAAACAGCCTGAGTGCTGTGTACGATATGTTGATGATGGCGGGAGACAGGTTCCTGGGTAGAGAGGAATGGTCCCGGTGAAGCCCAACTTCGAGCCAGGGACAGCCTGAATCCCGGGAGCCAGGCTGTCAGTTATGTGTGGAGTCCGAAGCCCGGAAAGAGAACTTACCGTGCCTTTTTTTGGACCTGCCCATGGCCACCCATGGACCAATCACCATGCACTTTGGGCCACCCCACCCACGGGCCAATTAGCCCCCCTACCCCCACACACTGAGCCAGACTCAGACAGATGTTGGGAAAACCTGCCAACCTGCCAACCTGCCTGCATATAGGAGCTATGCAGCTATGCACTCCAGGTCTACTCTGAACTGGAGACTGCAGACGTCAGGATGACCTGCCTGCTGATAGGAGCTATCCACTGTGGGTCCCCTCTCCACTGAGAACTGGACACTCACTGGGACAACCTGCCTGCATAAAGGAGCCACTTACTTTGGGTCTCCTGAGAGCTGTTCTGCTGCTCACTGAAGCTCCTCTCCACCTTGCTTACCCTTCAGTTTTCCACATATCTCATTCTTCCTGCACATGGGACAAGAACTTGGGACCCGCTGAATGGCTGGACTAAAAGAGCTGTAACACAGACAGGGCTGAACCACCCCATACTCCCTGCCACATTGTGGGTAGAGAGAAGGAGAGAAGTGCTGTGGCCCTTCAGGGACCCCAGACCTAGGGATTCCCAGAGCTTGGGCCATGACACCCCTTTGGCGCTCTGCAGTTCCTTGCATCTCCAAGCTTCCAGGCACAACCACATCCCTCTCATTCAGACACGGGTGTGTCCTGTACAGCAGAAGCTGTGTCCTGTACATCTAGTCCAGCCACAGCCTCAAATGGAACTGGCATCTGTGTCGGTACCTGGAGCTGCTAACCCTTCTGTGTAGCAGACAGCTTGCCTGGCTGTGCTCAGTGCCTGGAGCCCACTCTCACTTGCCTACACACCCCTTGTTGCTCCACGCCTGGCTTGCCCTTGGCAGGTGTGGGATCCAGGCTGGTAGCACAACCCGAGCACAGCCTGTCAGGCTGAGGTGCTGTGGCTCACACCTGTAATCCCAGCACTTTGGAAAGCTGAGGTGGGAGGATCACTTGAGCCCAGGTGTTTTAAACCAGCCTGACCGACAGAGTGAGTCCCCAGCTTTACAAAAAATTTAAAAACTAGTCAGCTGTGTGGCTTGTGCCTGTGGTCCCACCTACTAAGGAGGCTGAGGTGGGAGAAATGCTTGAGCCCAGGAGGTCGCACTGCAGTGTGTCATGATTAGACCACTACAATCCAGCCTGGGTAAAAGAGTGAGACCCTGACTCAAAAAAAAAAAGTCTCATACCCACTCCTCTCTGGTAGGTTTGCTTGCCCTTCCACTTTCTGCCGTCTATCCTGTATGTCTTCTTTTGAGAAGTGTCTGTTCATGTCCTTGGCTCATTTTTTAATGGGGTTCGTTGTTTTTGCTTGTTGATTTAAGTTCCTGATATATTCTTGATATTAGACCTTTGTTGGATGCATAGTTTACAAATAATTACTCCTATTCTGTAGGTTGTCTGTTTATTCTGTTGATGTTTTTTTCACTATGCAGAAGCCCTTTAGTTTAATTAAGTAATTAATTAATTAATTATCAATTTTAGTTTGGGTTACAATTGCTTTTTAAGACTTAGTCACAAATTCTTTCCCAAGGCCCACGTAAAAAATTTGTTTCCAAGGTTTCCTTCCAGAATTGTTTTTTCCAGAGACTCATTGCTCACTAATAGAATTCTTATAGTTTAAGGTCTTATATTTAAATCTTTAATCTATTTTGAGTTAATTTTTGTATATGGTGAAAGAAAGGAATCCAGTTTCATTCTTCTGCATATGGTTAGCCAGCTATCCCAGCATAATTTATTGAATAGGAAGTCTTTTCCCCATTGTTTGTTATTGTCAACTTAGTTGAAGATTCAAAGGCTATGGGTGTACAGCTTTATTTCCAACTTTTAACCATTTCTTAATTGCTTGCATGGTCCAATAAGAAGTATAACAAAAATAATTGATATGTGTTTTTACTAGCACTTTGTTCATAACTAGTATATTGTTATGGTTATTCTCTTTTTAATTTACACTGGTAAATTAACATCATGTATCATAAATAATCATGTATCATAAATAATACATAATAATCAATTTTTTTTCCAAATCTGCTACTAATAATTGTATCACTAGCATAAAGTGAGAGACAAATATTAAGATATCATATATAAATCCAGTAACTGTTTCCTAAGTGCTTCTGACACCTATTTTTAATATTCTCTGCTCTGGTTACATTTCAGACAGTATAACTGAATCAAAAGTCTATGTCAGTTATTCTTATTTTTTCCTATTTTGGAAAGAAAATAAAAATAAATATACATATGGAACATATACTATACATTATGTAGATTTACATATGTATATTATGTGTATCTATGTTATGTTTATGTACATATGAACATCTCTACATATGTATATTTCAATGCTAATTTCTCTTCAAAGTCAAAAATGTGGATATGAAAAGAATATAGAACACATATAGACATCTACTTTCTGTGCCATAATTAATGAATGGGTTCCAGATAGTTGCCATCTCTTGCAGTACTGACAACGACTGTTCTTCTTTGTAAAGTCCAATTATAAGCCAGTTTATTTTTCCTGTCTCCAAGATAATAAAAAACAATACGCATCACTAATATGGTGCAAAGAGTGAACTTTAAAATTCTTATGAAAATTCTCAAACAGTTCTTTTAAACTTTCTATCTTAATCTTCTACATATTTTCTCAAGCAATTAAAAACATAACTATCTTTTCAAGGCATAGTTTAATAATATTTCTTAAGTATATCTAATTTTACCTAAATTCAAAGATGTGATAAAAAAAGTCATAGTAAAAACTTACATTAAAACTTACTGTCTTTTTAATATTATATACAGTTTTTGTTCTTTTAAATCTAGAAAAAGTTATGCTTTACACTTGTTTTGCAACTCTGTCAAAATCATAGATGATTTCTACTATGTCAGGAGAAAAATGAAAAAGGTATTTTTAATACTTTTTTTTTTTTTTGAGGTGGAGTTTCATTCTTGTTACCCAGGCTGGAGTGCATTGGCACGATCTTGGCTAATTGCAACCTCTGCCTCCCGGGTTCAAGCGATTCTCCTGCCTCAGCCTCCCAAGTAGCTGGAATTACAGGCATGCGCCACCACATCCAGCTAATTTTGTGTTTTTAGTAGAGACAGAGTTTCTCCATGTTGGTCAGGCTGGTCATGAACTCCCGACCTCAGGTGATCCGCCTGCCTTGGCCTCCCAAAGTTCTGGGATTACAGGCTTGAGCCACTGCAACTGGCCTTTTAATACCTTTTAAGGGAAAAGGTACTCTTTTAGCCTCCTAATTTCCAGCTTTCTCCAGAAAAAAAAAAAAAAAAAGATTTAGATTAAAAAACAAAACAAAACCAAAAACCTCTGTCACTGAATTTTCTTCTACTGACTATGCTAGAATGGGAGAAACTATTAAAGAAAATCACATAAAATTTCAGTCATTATCTAAAGCATGCAACAAATAATATAGCACTCTATATCTAAACGTAAAGTGGAAATAAATACTTCAACTGCGTCTCAGCATGATATTCAAATTTGGTAGCTTATGCATTAAATGCAGTTTCTTGCTCCCATTTTACACAAACACACATACAGATATATAGATATAGACATAAAATATGTTATGTACATATATAAATATATGTACCTGTAGTAATTTATAATTATTTGAATAATAGTTAAATCAAGGTTAGGAAGAGTGCAGAAGAAACCTATATATTACCTTTTTGTGTTCATCCTTCTGACTTTAAAAATAAGATATAAATTATCAGAGATATTTTCATTGTGATATTACTTTTTTATTTATTAAACTAATTAAGTATGCTGAACCTTTCATGGCATAACCATTATAGTAATTCTTGAACATTTCAAAAGAAAATGATAATAGTTATTATGTTGGACTGTGAAATAATTGGACTGATTTCCAGACTCTACAGAAGATATTGAACTCATGTCATTTAATGATAAAATATAGCTATTGAAGCTTTCTAATTATGAATTTGTCAAGTGGTGGGAGACAAATGATCTGATTTTACTCTTAAAAATGAAGGACCCACAATTCAACACAGGTGTCTGGGGAACGTATTGCAGGCTTTTTTTTTTATTATAGAAAATGTTGAATAATAATGTGAATCCCTGTAGAGAGAAAAATGTTTTCTGACACCAGGAATATTCTATAAAAGAAGCAGGAAAATAATTTCCCTCAGGGTAGCCCAATGAAACACTATAACAGAAATTTCATCTTACTCTCTTCCAAACAAGAATCAGCATTTATGATGCAATAAGCAAGAGCAAAGCACGTAAATATAATGTGTGGTGAGTGTCTGCTTTGTGTGTGTATGTTTTTTTTGTGTGTTTGTAAGCAAATGTGTGACAGAGGGAGAGAGACAAAAGACACCCAATAATTTTGTGAATAAGAATTTTAAACAAATTTTCCTGTGTTCATTGCTGATTTCTCTTAACATTTCTTTATTATTAAAATTACAGAAGACAGCAGTAGTTCAATAAAGTCACTTTGTTTATTCAAGAAATATGTTTTAGGTATGGGAAGATACAACATGATAAATTGTCAAAACATATTCACATGAGTCTTACACCTGACCATTTGAACTAATGATTCAAGAAATACTGGCCATTGGCTGGGTACAGTGGCTCACGCCTGTAATCCCAGCGCTTTCGGAGGCCGAGACAGGCAGATCACGAGGACAGGAGTTTGAGACCAGTGTGGCCAACATGGTGAAACCCCCGTCTCTACTAAAAATACAAAAAATTAGCTGGACGTGGTGGCAGGCACCTGTAATCACAGCTACTCAGGAGGCTGAAACAGGAGAATCACTTGAACTTGGGAGGCAGAGGTTCCAGTGAGCTGAGAGACCACGCCACCGCAATCCAGCCCAGGAAACAAGCGAGACTGTCTCAAAAAGAAAAAGAAGAAGAAAAAGAAAAAGAAATACTGGCCATTACAATACAGAGGTGAACCATTCTTTGACTAGAGAAATATGATCCCGTTAGACACTGCTCCCCAGAAGAGCCTTGTTTCTTGTATTAAACCTGTGTAGGGTTTCAAATTTAACATGTAAATGGCATTTTGGTAGTGGGAATGCTATTTTCTCATTGATTTACAGAGCTTATGTTTTATTAATCTAAATAAATGTACAAAAACTCTTTGACACAATTCAACACTCCTTTTTGATAAAAAATTATCAACAAGGTGATATTTGGAGAAAAATGCCTCAATCTGATAAAGAACATCTACAAAAGTCCCACAGCTAAAATCATACTTAATCTTGAAAGATTCAATGCTTTCTCCCTAAATTAGGGAACAAGAAAATAATGTTGCCTCTTACCACTTCTATTCAACATTTTACTGAAGGTTTTACTTAGGGTAATCAGGCAAGAAAAATATATAAAAGTTTATAAAGAAAATAAAACTATATTTGCAGATGACGTGATCTTGTTTGTGTAGAAAATCCTATGAAACCCACATAAGGAGCTATTTGAACTAAGAAAAAAGTTCAGCAAAGTTGCAGGGTACATGATCAATACACAAAAGTCAGTTCGTTTCTATACACTATCAATAAATCATCTAAAACTAGAATGAGAAAAAGTAATTTATAATAACATTAGGAAGATAAAGTATTTGAGAAGAAATAACAAAATTAGTTCAAAACTTATATTCCGCCCAGGTGAGGTGGCTCACACCAGTAATCCCAGCACTTCAGAAGGCCAAGGTGGGCGGATCACTTGAGGTCAGGTGTTCGAGATCAACCTGACCAATATGGTGCAACCCCATCTCTAATAAAAATACAAAAATTAGCCAGGCATGGTCGTGGGCGCTTGTAACCCCAGCTACTTGGGAGGCAGAGGCATGAGAATCGCTTGGACCCAGGAGGCGGAGGTTGCAGTGAGCCGAGATCACACCACTGCACAGACAGAGAGAGACTCCATCTCAAAACACAAACAACACAACACAAAACAAAACTTACATTCTGAAAACAACAAAACATTGTTCAAAGAAATTAAATAAGCCCAAAATAAAAATTAAGGTATGTTCTTGGATCAAAGACTTATTGTTGTTGAGATGAAATTACTTCCCAAATTTTTCCACAGGTTCTATGTAATCTCTATCAAAATGACAGCTGGCTTTTTTATTTTCGGAAATGAAAAAAAAAAAAAAAAAACAGATGCTTGTAACCATGTGTAATTTTAAGGAGCCCAGAATAGGCAAAACAATCTTGAAAAGAACAAAGTTCAGAGTTGGGGGACTCACATTTCAGATTTCAAAAGTAACTATGAAGTTACATTAAACAAGTCAATATGCTACCAGCATAATGATAGGGATATTCATCAATGGAATAAAATTGAGAGTCTGGAAACAAACCTGCACATTTATGGTCAGTGGATTTTTAATGAAAGTACTAAAACAATTCAAAGGGGAAAATAATAGTATCTTCAGCAAATCAGGCTGGGAAAACTGGCAACGAAAAATTAACATAGATCTAAATGTAACAGCTAACACTAGAAAACTCTTAGAAGAAAAAATATAGAGCATATCTCTATTACTTCAAGCTAGGCAAAACCTTTTTACCTATAATAACAAAAACAACAGTGACAAAACTACAGGATTTCATTAAAGTTAAAAGTTCTTGTGATTCCAAGTTGTATTAGTCTGTTCTCATGCTGCTATGAAGAAATACCAGAGACTGGGTAATTTATATAGAAAAGAGGTTTAATTGACTCACAGTTCTGCATGGCTGGGGAGGCCTCAGGGAACTCACAATCTTGGTGGAAGGCACCTCTTCACAAGGTGACAGGCGAGAGAAGTGCAAAGGAAAGTGGGGAAAGCCCCTTACAAAACCACCTGATCTCATGAGAACTCACTCATTATCAGAACAGCTTGAGGAAACCGCCCCCATGATCTAATCACCTCCCACAAGGTCCCTCCCTCAACATGTGGGGATTATAATTCAGATTACAATTCAAGATGAGAGTTTGGGTGGGGGCACAGCCAAACCATATGACAAGGATATCCTCAAGAAAGTGATGAGACAACCCAGAGAGTGGGAAGAAATCTTTGCAAAACATACATCTTATAAAGAGCATGTATCGAGAATGTCTACAGATACTTTACACACACATACAAATACACACACACACATACATATATAACTCTGACAGTGAAATAATGAAAAGACAAATAATACAATTTTTACATGGGCAAAGGATATCACTGGATATTTTTGCAATTGACTGATAAGTACACGGAAAAATATTCAACAAATGTAGCCATCAAGAACATGCAAATCTAAACCACAGTGAAACACTACTTCTTGCCCATTGGAGTAGATGTAATCAATAAGACATATATAAATATATACAATAACAAGATTAAATGCATAAAAAGGAAGACAGATAATAACAAATGTAGCTGAGGATGCAGCAAATTTGGGACCTACATATGCTATTCCTGGGAATGCCACGTTGACAACAGTCTCTAGCTTTTCAAAAGTTAAAGAGAATTATCATATAGTCCCAGAATTTCACACCCATATACAAAACCAAGGTAACTAAAAACATATTTATAGACAATAACATGTACGCTAATGTTCATGGCTTCATTATTCATAGTAGAAAATACAGAAACATTTCAAATGTCCATGAACTTACGAATGAATATATGAAATACATCAAATACATGTACATGGAATGTTATATTATTCAGTAATGAAAAGAAATGAAGTTGATGCATGTTACAGCAAAATAGATACTTAAAACATGTTAAGTGAAAGAAGCCAGTCACAAAGGACTACATATGTTATGATTTTTATATGTGCAATGTCCAAAATAGGCAAATCTATAATGATAAAAAGTGGATTAATGATTTTCTGGGGCTGAGGAGAAATAAGGAGTGACTACTAATTTGTACAGGATTTCTTTTCAGGTGATTAAAATATTTTAAAATTAATTGTGTTGTGGTTGTACACATCTGTGAATACACCAAAACCCACTGAATGTGCATTTCAGATGGGCGAATTGTGTTATTTGCATAATATAAAATATTTTATATCAATAAAGCTATTGTTTAAAAATGGTAATAAATACTCAAAACTCAAAAAACTGTACAGAAAGTAAGATCAATTGTTGATAAAGGATCAATTTCTTTCATGTTTATAAATGTTACAACTTGCCTTGTTGTTTTGGCATCTGTGACCTGTATAAAGGGAGAAATCAAAGATGTGTGAAGAGCTGAATGTTTCTAAAGAGAACTGAAAACTTTTAAAGACAGATAAGTTACCAGAACTTATTAATAGCAGCAGCATATCTCTACTTCCTCATCCAAGATGTATTCACAGAAATTATTGAAGCCATTACTCTCTATCTAGTGGGAAGATTTTTCTTTATTTCGTTTTGTTTTTATTTCTCTACTTCCTTTGTGGAAAGCCAAGATATTTCTCTATATATCAGGTTATGTGAGAGGACTCCGAAAAATTCAATTAGGGAGACCGAAAGTCACTGAAAAAGAGAGTGTATTGTGCATCTTTTTCTTGCAGGTGATCTCTGCCAATGAGGTGCCAGATTTCTTTTCCTCTCATTATTTTTTTTTTGAAGGAAAAGAGAATTGACAAAATAAGAATCTTTGAGTTTTTTGTATGTAAAGTAGGCCACGTGGACTCTTGCTAAGCATAAGCCCTTCTTTTAAATATTTTATGCAAAGAGGTCACCTGATGAAGGGGGAAAATTGTGGTGTACTATTGCAGGCAAGAGTTAAGAGGAGAGAATTTAGAGAGTCCAAACTAAAGTGAATTTCTATCCTACAAGTTCTCTTAAAACTCTCTGTTTTTTGCACAATGGAGTCAGCATTTGGATGCCAACTTCATAAATATCAATGACAGTCAATCTTAGCTAGGGGAACCAATGAAGGACAGAACAGCACTAGTAAAATAAATATTATTTTCTGCCTTTTACAGTTTCCAGAACCCATTCTCCAAACTCAAAGAAAATCACCCTGAAAAAGGAAGGTAGGTGGAGAAAAATAGAATATTTGGCCCTTTCCACATTCAATTTCTGCTTAATGAATGGGAAACCATGGGAGTTAAAGTACATATACAGTTTTGGTTTGACTATGAAGTTTATTACACTTAGAGTTTGAAAGTCTGATTAAGATATGTGTAAAGAAAAGAAAGATTATTCAGGAAAGTGACTTTAAGAGTGTGAGAGAAGAAAACAGAGTATTAATTTTGAGATAATATTTGTAAAACATCATGTAAAAATTAAAAAGAATATATTGATTCAGAAAAAAATAGGTTAAATACATTTATATCAGGTTATCTCAGATTACATTGTCATTTCAGCAGCATCATTTGTTTAGGAAAAGTGGAGGGTAGTGATGAGGTAGCTTGGTTAGAGGAATGCAAAATGTTCATAATACTTAAATGAGAATTCCAGAGTGATTAATAAAACAATTCATGATGGGTTAAATTTATAATGCATATATTTTAGGAGAAGTAATAATATTCAGGTGACTCTTTCCATTAGATCAAATGGAAATAAAGAGAAAGTGTTTGCCAGAGTTCAGTCATTTTCCTATTACCAAAATTTCCTTATAATCAATGTTCCAGAAACTGTGCCAGACTTTAGATGTGAAATGGCAACTACTCCAGATGCTATTTCCTCAGGAAGCCTATGATGTGGTAAAGACTTGATATAAATAATTAACAAAACACATTAAATACTAATAAATTCTGCTGAATACTATGAAGAGAAGCAAACAATATTCAAAGTAAAGCTGAAACCAACAAATAAAACTAGTATATAGGTGAACTGGCCTACTTTTTTTGGGTGGTCCAAAAAAGCAGCTATTAGCAGATAAGATTTAAGCTGTCATTTTAAGAATGGTGATGAATCATTATCTTAAGTTGTGAAATCAGGGTTAACATTTGCTAAGGGTTTGAAGTGCTTTCCAGAACTTCGTATTTGATAGGGAATGAAATAAGTGAGTAGAAGTGTCTGTAGTGGGTGATAAGTTTGTGAAAGTATCAAAGGGATATGCATGGAGGGTGAAAGATCGAGTGCAAGGAGTCTTCAAAAGGCTTTAGACGATCACTTTTGTGGATTGTATTTGACTTTTAGCTTCACTTTGGTTACAGTACAGCATATCCAGGTCTCAGGGGGAAAAAAAGAAAGGACATTTGGCAGTTTCAGTAAGGATTGCAGGTGAAAATCTGGGCCACATATGCAAGTGACTTCAATTGAAATGGACAACAATGAACAGAATCTAAAACATCTTTGGAGGTAAATCATATATGGGTTAGGATAAAGGGGGAAATCAACAATAAATCCTAGATTTCTCACTTGGCCAGTGTGGAATTAGTGGAGACATTTATCAAGATAGGAAAGAGAAGATGGGGCACACAGCAGGTTTAGGGGTGGGAAGCAAACATTCAATTTTGAATATATGTTTAAATGTAGCTTTGTATGGTCTGAACTCAGATATAAAGCAGGTGCTTAGTTAGAGGAGACCACTGTCTTTTTTTTTTAGATATAAAATCATTGGTGTGGCAGTTGAGAGAAAATCAGAGATAAGAGAGACTCTAAAAATTAGTGAATTGATTATTCAACCCCTTTACCTTAGTTTAGAAAGATTATAGGGATAAAAATGAAGCCAAGAGAGGACAGAAACCTGACATAAAATTTAGGAGTTAAGAGAATTCCCCTTACAGGTAATGAACAATTTTAACAGAAATGTGGGAATGAGAGAAGAATAATAGGAAGAAAAAGTTTTAGTCAAATGTTTGAGTTTGGGATTCTTCAAGATAAAAAAAATACAGAGGAACAGAGGAGTGGTAATGCCTGAGGTATAGCATCCAGTTGAAGGCTGCAGTCAAGCAAACAAAAATAAGAAAAATAAAGATTAATGGAGTCAATGAAGTGTAAGAATCTGCTTGAGGCTTTTTTTTTTTAAGTATAACTTTATATGCCTCACAAAAGCATTTTTCTTCACGTCTTAGGAAGCAAAATGCAGTAGTTCTTTGAAAAACATTTGGAGTAATAAAGATTTCCATTTATATGTAATTTTGGTTTTCCTTAATTTTAGTTTCATAAAACTTTTCTATAATGATCTATAAAATTTTATACATAAAATTGAAAATGACTAAAGTTATAAACAATTTCTAAACCATTAAGGGAAATAGAATAATGTCATATAAATAAAGCATGTATATGCTAATTTCACTTATCAGTAAAACACAAGTGTCTTCAATTATATGCTCCAAATTATGTATTTATATGTTTATGACTTGGTTATATATAAAATTTATATTATATTATTGCTAATGAGAGTAGTAAACAACATTTTTCCTTTTTACTTTTCAGTTCAACATAGTTCAGAATCCCTGAGAAATACATATAAAAGCCAGAAAAAAATTACATAAAAATGATGGTACTTTTACTGTCTCAGATTTGTTGATAAATAAACTGGTGTCTCATAGCCGTAGAGAATTCACTTCTCATTTAACTAGACAAACTTGCCCCTCCACCTAACGCTCTTCTGGATAATTGCCAGCAATACACCCATCTGAACAGGCAGTTCCCAAGAACAGGGAACCCAAGAACCAACTTATTCATCAACTTTTGTTGTGTTCACTCATCTTCTTTTCCTTGGGGGGAATGATGGAGTGGGTTATGAAAAGGACCAGTGGGTGCTCCCATGGAGCTCCTCCGCACTGAAACCTGATATATGGTTCAGTGACAGTCTTCAAACACTTTGTGTCATTTTGCATTCTTAGTTTTAAGAGAAACTTGCTGTGGCTGAAAAGGAATTTTTAAGAAGGTATAATGTTCCTCACATAATCTTCAGAAAACCTGGAATACTAAGTTTAAAGCTACAGCGGCTGGAAAATATCTCATGCCAAACCACATTACTGATCCAGTGAAGACATCTCTATTGCATTTGCTAAAGGAGTCTGATCTCGCTATCACAATTTCTGCCACCAGAAAGATTACTTCATCGTTCCTGCTTATTTTTAACAAAGTCCAATTAGTGAAGTCTAAGTTAAGTGTTGCACTACTCTGTTTTGCAAGAGAATCTTGGAAAGTCCGTATCTGGCAGTTTCAGCTTCTTTAGTAGGAAGCTGGATAGGTTTCTCACTGAGATCCATATAGTTCAATTCCCCAGATGTAGAAAAAGGGGTACCGATGTTACACAATAAAAGGAACCATAAATGCTCAGTATAACCACCACACTTGCTGCCATTTATGCATTTATATTTACTTATTTAACTTATTTAAGATACATTTATCTTACTATCCACAAATTTACCCTGCCCCTTGGTGATGCCTCTGAACAATGAATCTACCCACTATATAACCCAAAAGATGTCTAACTCATTCTCAGCAGAAGGCAACCCAAAACCTCAGGATCCTGCATCATCAGCAGGGTCCAAATCTTTGCTGATAGTTATTTTTTTTCAGCTTTTATCGTGTTCTCTTTTTGATATTCTATTACCTGTGGATTAAATTATAATGCCATCAATTCACATCATATCATGTGAAAATACTGAGAAAAGGAGAAGAAATAGCTTCTTTTAAATAAAGTAACACATAAGTAAATATAGAGACAGGCCAAGCGCAGTGGCTCCGCTTGTAATCCCAGCATTTTGGGAGGCAGAGGCAGGCAAATCACCTGAGGTTGGGAGTTTGAGACCAGTCTGGCTAAAACAGTGAAACCTTGTCTCTATTAAAAATACAAAAAAATTCACCAGGGATAGTGGCACATGCCTGTAATCCCAGCTACTTGGGAGGCTAAGATAGGAGAATTGCTTGAACCTGGGAGGCGGAAGTTGTGGTGAGCCGAGATTGCACCACTGCACTCCAGCCTGGGCAACAGAGTGAGGCTCTGTCTCAAAAAAAATAATAATAATAATGGAGAGAAATATTAAACAAAGTCTCTATTTGGTGAATATGTTTTTCCTCATCGACAATCCATTCGTGTTCCTTTTACATTCTGCTGGCACTTAACTGATCAGAGTTCTTTAGTTTATGATATGATCCACTCATTCCTGAACATTCTGATTACTGAGAGCTATTTCCTCTATGGGACCTCATTAACTTCTACTCCCTTTTATTGACAGACAATGGCAGTATTAGAGGTAGCCCAGAGAACCACTTTTATTCCATCCCTGCTTCTCCCATTTCCTTGTAAGAGTCAAAGTGAGCACCCCAGCAAATGCGAAAACATTTTTGATAATCATGAATACCGCTAAGGAGCAAAAAGCACTGTCAGCTTCCAATCTGATACAAACTTTACTTTGCCCTCAGTGGAAGTAGTCATATTGGATGTAAAAATAAATAAGTTGAATACTTAGGTGTCAATAGGATAAAAATAGTAATTTGTTCATACGTTATTAGGCACAGTAATGGGAGACGAAATTGCCTCAAAGCCTTGGATCTAAAATCTATACATTTAAATGCTGGAAAAGTTACAATTATTTTTGTTTGCTTATTCAGAGAATAATCAGAATCTGCAATTTTAGGAATAACTTGCCAAGTCAGTACATGGCAAAATTTGGTACACTATGCTAGATATTTTAACCAGAATTTAGTTAACATTTACAGATTGTTAAAACAATTAATATGAAGAACATTTACCTATAAGCAAATTGGCATCAAGGCACATTCCATTATTTGACTTATTTTGTGTATATTTGTGCATGTGCTTACAAAACCCATAGGATGTCTCATAACTTTTGGTTGGTTCCAGTAAGTTTTTTGTATCCAGATGAACATCTTTGATGATGTTTAATGAAGCAACAATATGTATAATGTACTAACTTAAACTTTTCTCTTTTAAGAATCTTATTGTCAAAAATGATTTTCAAATTCAATAATAAACATCTGCCAACTTGCCAGATGCCAACCCAATTTTCTTCCTCTCTCCAATGGTTTCTGGAATGTTTGTTTGTAGTTTACTTGTCCCCAAGCTGTTTAGTGCTACCAAGACTTCCATTAACTATCATGCAGCCTCAAAATTGTTTGTGCTACAGGTTCTAAATTTGTATGATCACTTGGACCCTCTCTCTACATTGAGATCTTTCCAATCAACTCCCTATTCACTGTTAATATTGTTTACTTTTGTTTCTCCATTTTCACATATTCTTTTAGTACAGTACTCAGGAAACAAGCTCAAACCCTATGTCTAGGACAAACCATCACACAAGAATACTCTTTCTTCTGTCTTTTCAATTGATACATGCAGAAAACATAAAATGCTTCAAAAAACATATACTATCTCAGGCCCTGAATTGCTGAATTTAGCTTATTGACAATTATATGGACCTTGAAATTAGATGCAAGTAAAGAATGAAATAATTTTCACCTCAGCACAAAAAGTAAAATAAAGGAATGACAGAATCTGGTTTGTAACTTAGAAACAGCAACCACAATCATTAATAAAACATTGGCTAATGTGTCTCAGACTCCATCTAATTAAAATAGGTGAACAAGGGAAAAAGCTTGAGGATGAAGACTGAAGGGGAAGATGGACTACGAGAGAAACAAAAGAAAAGAAGTATGAATATTACCCAATTAATCAAGTTTTATTTAATCATAGGAAAGGGCATTTGAATATTAACAGGTGATTTTTATGCACACTAGCTCTTTGGAAACAATGATCTGAAGGAATATTTAATTAGCAAGTCCTTTAGAGTGTCTCTTTCAAATGGGAATTATCTCAGTCATGCTTTTGTCATGTACTGGAAGGCAACCAAATTATTGTCAAATTATCAAATGAATGCCTTAGGTACTGGTATTTCATGTGAATTACAAGACAAATTCTAATAATTCAGAGCATGGACATTAATATTAACATTCTAGAGGCTGAAAAAAAGTTTCTCTAACAGAGATAAATAGTATTTCCATAATATGTTAAATTTAGGGGTGACATATTTTGATATTTACTCCCAAAGTGTGCAAGATACAAGGTTTTTTTATTATACATACAAAAATATGTGGCTTAATGGAATTGTAAATCAATCATAGTTAGAAACAACAGGCATACAATTTTAAAAATTTTGTATTAGCATTATTCAAAAGATGATGACAAGGTTGCTTTTAATTGTAAAATAGCAGTAATATATAAAACATCAGAAAGCATTTCTTTGTGAATTATTTAAATTCATGAAAGAGAACAGGTTTTTGTGGTTTTTCTTTTAGTTTATTTTGAGTTATTCATATTTATGAAGATAAAAATTGCATCACCTTTCAATACAAGGATTACTTATATACATAAATTTATTTTGATTAATGAACTATTTTAAAATATTTGGCTTGTGGGATCTGGACTGCATATTACTTCTATGCTCTTCTTTATATACATTTTAGAATATGTTTTTTTAGAATACCAATGCGATTTTTCAAAAATACCTAAATTAGAACTTGAATAAAGTAAACTCATAATCTAGGTGTATTGACACTTAAGAATAACAAAGGTCTTTAGGAGTTAACCTTAAATTATTAAATATTAACCAGAAAAAACATCTACTTTGTATTGAAGAGCTAAACATCTCAGCAAGTTTGGGGCTATTGGTAATTCTTCTCTTTGGGAGAAAAACAGTGGAAAATACAGGACCATTAAAAGCTTATTTGATCGGTAAATGGCTTTCCTGGTCAAAAAGTCCATGCAGCATGGAATCTGGAGAGAGCCTGTTCATTCCAGATGTCTGCTTTAAAGAGCAAATGGCATGGTAAAAATGAAGAGCAGAAGAGCTGCTCTGGAAGAAAGCTATTTGATTTCATTACAGATTTTCAATTTTAAAAAGAAATAAATACTTGTCAGATTTTCCACTAATGCTTTGCATTATGAGAAGAGGAAGGGAGGGAGAGAGAAAAGGAGGGAAAAAGAGAAGGAAAGAAAAGAGAGGTATCATAAAATAAAATATCATTTATATCCTAGCTGAGAGTTATCTAAATTGGTATTCAACATACTCTAGAAAGATTGTATATTGCAGAAAGTGTTCCTGACCAAAAGACCTGAATTAATATTTTTTGAGAAGAAAGTATCATTATGCCTCATTTTATTTCTTAGCCAAGTATCTAGGGGAATAATGAATACAATTTCCACAAACAGGAATTGGACGAAATGTTAACATTTTTTATGTCACTGTGAAAAAATAATATATAAACAATTATTTGAATAATCTGAGATTACATAAAGCTTGTCAAAACGGAGATATATTAAAAATCAGCTGAGTATTTTTTTCTTTATAATTGTTAACGTTCATTTTCAATTTTTATATAAAAAACTAACTCAATTTTTCACTAATAGGGCACAAAAATGATTTGGACTTCTATAGGCATTAATTCTATCATTCTTTTTTTTTAAATCTAGATTCATGGTACAGGTCTCCAGAAATACAGTCTACACATATAGAAAATGCTATTGTAGCACACTGGTTTCTTATTTTTTATTTTCTTAATTGTTGATTTTATTTTTTAATGCCTTTCTTTATGTATCTTATGATTTCTATCTCTATTATTAAAGATCTTCTCCATTTCACATTTAATATAGTAATTGCTTATTTGATCAATTCTACAAATTATGCCAACTTTTATATTATTTGGCAATTTGTTTTCTCTCCTGCTTCTTGATTACTAATATATATTACAGTACAGAACAATAATGGAAAAATAGGTAACATTTTGTTACATTTTCAAAAGAATATGAACTAGATTTAAGAGATCTTGCTGTTTTAGCCCCACATATATTAAATGTAGCCATGTAGTTTTACTCTTAGAATATAACCCTTTGTCTAAATGTTTTCAAAACTCTAGATTAATAGGATATATAACTATTATTATGAAATTATATAATTCTATTATTATGAAATTATAACTACTACTTAATTCATGAGGAGTAATATTATTTTACTGACTTGTTCAAGACATTTAGGGAAAATATTTTATATATTATTTTCTAATGGCAAAAGAAAAGCTTAAATATAACCTGATTGCTGATTCTTTTGAGTCATTTTAATGCAGTACTTTAAATGGTTTAAAATATGTTTTTTAAAATGGGAAACTATTTTCTTAGCTTTAATGAACTTCCCTACTTTTCAGAATTAATTATGCTAAACATATTTCAAGAGTTTTGCTTCATTATCTTCTCATTTAAATAATTTTCAACAACATACCACTTAATAAAGTTTGTTGTGCAGGTACTGACAGTTAAGATTCTGTGTTCATCACAAGCATCTTTAATTTGACTAACATAATAAATCTTGTTCATCCCGATGTTACCATCTATTAGAGAAATTAATAAGCCATCATCCCATTAAACGTGGTATTGGTGTTACTATTGATAAAGTGTGGTATCCTTTCATATGTTTATTGAATATCCAGGTTCAACTTTTGCTTATGACATAAATATTTAATTCCTAGAGTGCATTTCACGCGATTTTGATTATATATTTCTGTCTTATTTTAGGTTGTATTTCCAGACAAACTATTTTTAACAAAATAATTTGTACAACACAAATTTTTTATCTTACTATTTTATAGAAAAACGTATTACCATTTATAAAATATAGAAAAACTACACAAATCACAAAGATGTTGCTGGACAAAGTTTCACAAAGTGAACCGATCACGATTAGCCCCAGCATCCAGAAGTCCTCATGGTGCTTCAAGTCGCAGTCCCCATAATGGAAAACAGTATCCAGCTTTCAGCAATAATTAGGTTTTCTGTCTATGCATGTTATTTACATGGAATCATACAATATCTGCTCTTTTATATCTGAGTTCTTTCTTTCAGTATGTTTTTTCCATGTTGTTTACTGTAGCACACATTTATTTAATTTGCATTCTCTTTTAAGGGATATATCACAATTGATTTTTCTATTCTTGATAGAATTTGATTTATTTTAATTTTTAGATTTATGAAAAATGCATCCTTTATGAGTAACAGCATTATTTATGAATAATAGAATTCTTGTACTTTTGTGACACACATGTACATGTTATTATTGGGCACATACCTATGAATGCAATGACTGGGTCATCGATTATGTGCATGCCAACTTCAGATATTGCCAGTTCATATGGAAAGTGAAGGTTTACTTTAAGTTCTTGGATACATGTGCAGAACGTGCAGGTTTGTTACACACATATACAGGTATATAGGTATGTAACAGGTATGTAGCAAACCTGCACATTCTGCACATGTATCCAATAACTTAAAGTATAATAATAATAATAAAAACCTTTTTCTTACACAACAGCACAGTAATTTTTTCAGACAACCGAAATTGTTGGAACTTTTAAGAAGTTTTATTCATTTTTTTTAGGACAGCCTAATAATTTTATGATACATCTATGAGATCTATGTTGTTTTTTGTTCTTGCTGCTAATAAGGCCAAAAAAATTACATAGGCACAAAAGACAAAGGTCTTTTGTCAGTTCTTACATATGATAGGGATTCTACTTCTTCCTTTGTTATCAAATATATTTGCTAGATTTTCTTGCCAGGGTGTGCTCCCTTGAGACCCGAAAATGGGAGGCATTCACGAATGCTCCTGTTGAAAGCAATATTTTTACAATTTACAATTGCTTGTGCATAGTGGCAAAACAGGAAATGTACTGCAAAATGAATGAAAAAAAGTGACTATTTAAAATATAATTGATAGCTAAGATACTGAAGAGAAAGCTAATTGACTAGAATTAGTAAAGTAAAATATCAGATTGAATTATAAAATTCATTTGATCAAACAAAAATACAACTCACTGAAAATCTCATATTTAGAAAAATAATTTAAAACTTTACAAAAGCATTTTCTGTCATAAACAGAATAAAATTAAATAGTCAGAAAAAATCAAGTTAATACTTTCTTAAGAAAAAAATAACTCAGCAATCAAAATTCTTGTTAAGGAAGAATAAAGCCAAAACGAATCTATGACTAAAATTTAATAATCAACCCATTACAAAAGTAGTAATTACTCACAAATAAAAGGTTGTTATAATGCTAATTATGTGTGGTTATTAATTTTATTGTCCTAATTCTTTTCTTTGTCGTTATACTTCACTGATTTCCACTCAGCCTTTGTCTAGCTCAGTGCAAAGAATTTTCTACCCACATATAGTCACTTCATTTCACAAGAATAAATGTAATTATCACCTAGCTAGAAGCTAAGGGGATTTTTTTTTTAACCTAGCTGGGGTGAAGTGACCCAATTAACATCTTGCATGAATACTCTGAATTTTATAAATTTTATAATATGTTTGGAGCTTAGAACAATTTTGATTGATGGTTTTCTTTTCTCAGGAAGTTTTTATCTCCTCATTTTCATTGTCTCAAATTTCACTTTAAAATCTCAGCTCAAAAACTACAAGCTTTCTTAAACTTACACTCATCCGACATGCTATTTTACCTATGAAACCACTTATTCACTTTTTCACTCAATATTCTGTCACAGAAACATATCTAGAAGATACAAAGAAGATTACAGCTACTAGCTTAACATTATCTCATATAGAAGTAGAAGACTAACATATTTATCCATTATAGATAGGATATGTGGCCATATTTCTTCACTCTTTAAAAGTGTTTATTCTTCATTCTGGGCCTTTATTCTTAAGGTTGCATTCTCTAAGTGGGTAAGTAGGAAGCTGGTTAGCTCATGTGATACAATTCGAGAAGTGAATTAGTAAGGGGGACTCTAATCGAGTACTCTTATAAAAGCCTATTGATTTTAATAATATCCATATTTTTGAAAATAAAACTAGTTTTGATTTTTAAAATCCATAGGTATTTTAACTGACTTTTCTGTCATTGAAAATGATACAGATTTTTAGGAGATATCAATACTCTACAATAAATGTCTCTATGTTTGTGCTTCCAAGATATGTCTCAAAACTTGGTAGTCAGGCTCTCCTTTTTACACTTCTTTTTAAATTGCTATTACATTTTCATAATTGCATTTATGAGTATTTTAAAACTCTCAAATGACTTAGTGTCATACTCTTTGAATTTATTTTCTTCCACATCTCTAGCAGCTTCTTCTCATCCCCTTTGCTGTTGTTTTTTTTTTTCTCAATCTCCTGGACTTAGCAAATTTTCATGTTTACGTCAGTTTCATCTCTGTCCCTTTCCCATTTTGTGTTCCACTAACTTCACCCATATGATAATGACCTCCAATATATGTATTCAGCACTACCTCTGGGCAGTCTCCATATTTATAGTGGCTTATTATTTTATAGCAATAACAATTGTTTCTTCGAGTCAGACACTATTTTGTGGTTCTTGCAATATTTAATGATTAAAAAGAGTTTATTTATAACTATAAAATATGGCATTGTTAATTATAATTAACCTGTTAACACTGAACCATTTATAGAGAGTTATGCCAACAGACTATTTCAGTGGCTACAATTGAATTCAGCACATTTCAGCCAGTGATCATTCTGTTTAATCGCATATTTCAAGGATTTTCTTGACTGAAAGATTTTGTTTTATTTTTCTCAGCCTGGAATTTCATCTACTGAAGCTCTACATGTCTAGTCCCTCACTTCCTTCAGTTCTTTCTCAGGTATCACCTTCTCTGGTTGCTTTCTCAGCTTTCCAGTATAAAATAGAAGCCATCTAACTGCTGTAATTTTGTCTGGTTAGTCTCTGCTTTATTTCTAGTACTTTTAACAGTGAATAAAGATATAGGCTTGTAAAAACGGTTTTGCATTTAAAAAACATGAATTGGTGAGTAAAAGAATAAGATATATGTGTATCACTAATATAAAAAATGTTATGCTATATGCTAAGTGAAAAAAGTATTTTGTGAATCATATATAAAATATGATTATATTTTTAAAATAGTCATATATGAGATGTCTGTGAAATTTGTATATACATCTCCCTCTAACTACTCACATAATCTTGTCCAAATGAAGATTTAAAAATTTTAAAAAAGGAAAGAATCAACAAAACTGTTAACAGTAGTTGTAGTAGTTAATCCTGGATGATAGGATTCAGTGTAGGTATATGTGTTTTGTAAGCGGGTGATATATGTAGTATGGGGGTTTAGTCGTGGCACAGGTATTGTGATATTTTATTTAATTTACACATTTTTATTATATGTTGCTTTTTATAAACTACCTATATGCTATGTACTTTTCAAATATTAGAAGTAAATAGTAATTTCTATAACTGAATCATTAATATTAAAATTAAAAGAACTGCTGCTTTTTTGAAATAGATATATGTGTTAGATTAAGGAATATTAGTTTATCTTTAACATTTTGAAAATAATATGTCAAATTCTGCAACTATGTTTATGAATCTCTATTGATATGATGTCTGTTCCAATATAATGTATTCTTATAATCTTATAATTTTAACAAAAATATGCTAATATTATTAGATAACATATATTGGTAAGCTATTTCTCTTTTAAAAATATTATTTTACTTAGTGTAAGTAAATTTTTACACAATTCATTTACTAAACACATTAGTCTTGTAAAATATTTGTATCATCATTTATGCCTGCATTATAGGATAAGTTATTATACTACACCAATGTAAAGAGACTGAAAGGCTAATTTATGTCAAATAAATCTTTACTTTTAAATGCATACACTAGATTTCAGTATGAAGTATAAGTGAGGGAGTAAGCCTTTATAAACTTAGGTAGCCTGGAGTCTTACATTGCAGACTTTTAATTTAAATATAAGTTTTCACAATAATTTTTTTTATTTCTTAAATGTAATTTGAAAGTATTTATTAAAGGTTGTGACATGAGCATCTCTAAACAATCTGTTTTTTATAAATTAGGAAAAAAAATCTTTAAACATTCAACATGAAACATAATATTATCCTTGGTGTTTGTCACGTCAACACAAGGAAATTCAAATGTATGTCATTGTAGGATCTAATACATACCTAGATTACGAACTCATAAAAACTTAGATGGTATCAACCAGATCTACACAATAACTATAAATCGAGGGGTATTTTATTTTTTTCTGGATTTTCTCGTTTTATAAATACTCCCAGAATACATGCATGACACGATGCTACTAGTGTGAGGAAAAAATAAAAGCAAGTTTTTCTGCTTTCAAGGAATTGATCACAGAATTAAACACACACATGCACACACACATAAATAGCTATGTAAACTGATAAGTACAAGAGATACCATAACAGACATAAAGTCTTATGAAATTGGAGTGGAGACAAAGTCCTACTCATGTCAAGGTAGCAATCTACAGAATGTTCAATTCTGCCATACTGAATAAAATGATGAAAAGATTTATATGGCATTATAGAAAATTAAATGTTTAATCTTAAAAGAGAGGAAAACAAGCCTATGAAGGAATTAGTTCCAGTAAAATCCATATTTGTCTGTGACAGATATGCTAAATAATGACAGCACAATCAAAATATAAGTAACTAGAAGTCTAATGATCTATATTTGAATTCCATTTACTTACACAGGCACATGCTGTAAGTAAATTCCATTTACTTACACAGGCACATGCTGTAAGTAAATTCCATTTACTTACATGAGCACAAATTGTACTGTGTGTAATATATAATTTGTACAACTTTAATTTCTATTTAATTTTTCTGTTTTATATGTACATGCATGAGCACAGTGGGTTAATTTCAACTTTCCTAACTCATAATGCTTGTGATTAGTTTTCTGATACAGCTTCCCTGGTGGGCCTTCTTTGCATGGAACAGTCTGTGCTTCTGGCCAAATTGACTTATGCATTTCAACCTTCCGCACAATTAATAGAAATTACTCCAGATAAAGTAAGTTTGAAGTGATCTGAATTAATCATTAAGACAGCAAGATATTTGTGCGCTATTTTCTGTCTTCATTGTAACACTGTTTTTCCTCCTTTTACCTACTTTAGTATAGTATAACTAACTCATATAAGAAAAGGTTAGCATTTGGTAACAATTATTCAACTTATTGGCAAGCATATTAAACGTCACTGATATTTTGTTTTATTTTAGAAATGTATACCAATACGAAAATTATTTATCCAAGCAACATTAAGGAAGCTAAACCAAAGTTATATGTAATGAATTATTTTGAAACTGATTTTTATTGACCCGATGAGGAAAATCCATCATACACTTATTTACTTCACTAATGGTTAAAGTAAGAAGAGACTGAATTTCTAAATGGCTTCATGAAGCACAGCATAGAGACAGGGTTAACTTTGTCATTCAGGCAGCCTGTAATGCAGAGTAATAAAGCAGGTACAGAGGCACACAGTTTTGCTTAATTTTACCACTAATCCTCTTTCAATGATCTAAGTAATTTCCATTATTTCCCTGTGCTGAGTACTCTGGCCAAATGCTTCTCAGCCTGTAGGTTATAAACAGACACATATGCCTGACACTTTAGGAAGTGCAGTCTCAGGTTAGCTTTTATATTCCCTAAAACTCATCTTCTTTACAATAGTTGCACTAAGTAATATGGGTGGAAAATAAACAGAGTGTTTGTATAGTAAATTGCAAATTATATAGAAGTGCAACATTATTAGAAAGACTCAAACAGAGAGGAGAACACAAAGTGCCTTTTGTTGCTGAAGTAGATGTGATCTTGAATATAGATTCATACAGACAAGACCAGGATTTCAGATTAAGGAATGGAATTTGGGCAGACCACTTTATATATTGGGTTTTATTTAGAAAACAATATCAAATTAAAATATCATAATTCAATAATTGCCAGTTCAGAGGACTCCCTTGTATATAAATGCACAGCGTAACTGTAGAATAATTTTGTTAAATAATGAGACCCCAGATCTGAATCTCAGAAGCTATACTGAACGGAAGGAGATGTTACTTTACCGACCAGTGATAGTTCATTGAAATTGTCTTATTTAGCTTTAAAGTTCTATAGCAAAGAATTTCAACTTAAAAATTTAGCTTAGTATAAATCTATGTATAAATATACATTTTTATCTTTTGCAAAATTTGATTTTTGCTTCCTACACCTTAGCTGCTAGAAACTCTTTCAGGGCAGTATATAGGCCAATTATAGAGGCCATCTCTTTTGTTTTCCTTTATTCAGTGACTTTTTCCCTTTACTCAATCACTATCATTGCCTGATGTTCAGTGTTATGAAAAAATATTTCATATATTTTTTCTTTTAAGGCGAATATAAATTTGATCCATATTAGTCCATCCTAGATAGAAACAGATGTGACTCCTATACTTTTCATTAATTATTGTGACTCACTAAGTCATTTGTGTATTGGATATGACGGTTTGATACTGCTTAAATTTATTTTATGTATACTTTATTATTTTTCTAATTTAAATTAAAGATTAATATATTTAAGTCATAAGTATGTGGAATAGTATTGTATTTTGTCATATTTTCAGTGTTTATATTGATACAGGAGTGCTGGAAAGGAAAGACCGCGGTCCCTTTAAATGATATGGAAGCGGGGAAGGGAAGTTCTGGATAAAGTCCAGTCGCTGGCTGAGGTTCTACCCCCACGGACCTAGGTCAGGACAGGCACTCCTGCTTTGGCACCCAAATGTTGCATTTTCCAAGGCCACCCTGGCCTGCTGCACCCCCATTCTGGGCCTATAAAACCCAAGACCCTAGCGGGCCAGCACACAGGCGGCCAGACCTCCAGAGGAGCACATCAGCGGAAGAAGAAAGAAGCGGCTGGATAGCGAGAGGACCTTGAGGGAGCACCACGACAGAAGAGCACGCTGACGGACGCCAGCACGCTGGCAGGCCATCCACGGTCGGGACAAGGCAGCGTTTGGCGGGGGCCTTCAGAGGAGAACCCCGGCCGCTGACCCGGCCTGACTCCAGGGAAAAACCATTTCCCTCTGGCTTCCTCATCTGCTGAGAGCTACTTCCACTCAATAAAACCTCGCATTCATTCTCCAAGCCCACGTGTGATCCAATTCTTCTGGTACACCAGGACAAGAAACCCGGGGATACAGAAAGCCCTCTGTCCCTTGTGACAAGGTAGAGGGTCTGCTGAGCCCTGATTCTCAAACCGATTCTACTTTTCCACGTGCCAGAAAGTTTGTTACAAAATAATCTACTTGTTCTGACAAATGTCTCTCTGACAAGAAAAAAGATCTTTCTACAGTCTTTACATAATCTCTCTCTATCATACTAAGGAGAAAAATAAAATTAGCAACCAAGCAATGCTGCAGTCCCTTTCCTCAGAATCATATCCCTAGAAAGAGAAAATGGGAGCATTAAAAAGAAAAATAAACTTATTGCAAGCAAAGTAAACTCCCGCTAAGTATTGTTATTTTTTTCCTTGCAGAATTCACAGTCTAAATTTTTGCTAGTTATACAATGAGTATACAGATTGATGTATACAAAAGAATAAGGGGTCAAGAATATATTTCTAAATTAAATTTAGGCCAGGTGCTGTGGCTCACGCCTGTAATCCCAACACTTTGGGAGGCTGAGGCAGGCAGATCGCTTGAGGCTATGAGTTTGAGATCAGCCTGGCCAACATGGCGAAACTCCGTCTCTACTAAAAATACAAAAATTAGCTGGGCGTGGTGGTGCACATCTGTGATCCCAGCTACTCGGGAGGCTTTTGTTGCTGAAGTAGATGTGATCTTGAATATTGATTCATACAGACTAGACCAGGATTTCAAATTAGGTAATGGAATTTGTGCAGACCACGAGACAGGCAGGAGAATTGCTTGA
This sequence comes from Homo sapiens, assembly GCF_000001405.40. NCBI lineage: Eukaryota > Metazoa > Chordata > Mammalia > Primates > Hominidae > Homo > Homo sapiens. The sequence goes on along the minus strand of NC_000004.12, from coordinate 116,452,367 downwards.
ACCCAGAGGCAGATGTTGCAGTGAGCCGAGATGGCACCACTGCACTCCAACCTGGGTGACAGAACGAGACTGTGTCTCAAAAAACAAACAAACAATTTGTATTAAATTCTACTATTCTATCAATTATATTTAAATATGAGTTACCAAAGAATTATAGATTTAACTTTTACTTGTTTTGTTTTCTGCACATTAATTCTATTTTTAAAACATTATTGATTATCCAAAAATTAATATATAGATGTATTTTACTAAAAATAATTTAAAAGTAGTGGTACAAATATATTAGGGCATTAGGAAGCTGTACTTCTTTCCAGTTACCTAGTATGGTCTGTTACTTACTAAATGTATTAAATTATACCTTCACGTTGTGGCAGTGTAAATCCAGCTTCAAAAAGTTTAACTTATTCTGACTTTGCCTTTCAAGTCAATTAGAATTTGCTAAGTGGTTGCAAGATATTGAACAGTTTATTAAATTAGAAAAGACAGAATACTTAATGTTGAGTAGAAATATAATTCTCCCTGATTGATCCTGTTACTTATTAAGGATATGTTATCTAAAGTAGCAGCCAAGGTTATCAAATCTAAGTTTACAGACAGTTGAATTAAATACTTCATTTGAAAATGGCCTTAACATGAAGATTGCCCACAATTATATTTAAAACCAGAAGCTGTAATGTAGAAGAAAAAAAAAAAGCAAAAAGTATCATTATAGCAAACAGATTCAGGCTTGACATCTTAAAAAAGAAACAAAAACATACACACAAATGTATATTTTTGTTCCCATTATCATGATATTTTTATTTCTTTATGAAAAATTTAGTTACAGAAAACATGGCTGCATAATTGAATATAATAATGCTACTATCTATATAGATCCTTTGTAATGTATAGTCCACAAAAATATGCCCTTATAGCATCTTTGGAATGTACATTTTATTTTCTTTCCTTCTCTTCTCTTCTTCTCCTTTTTTTTTTTTTTGAAACAAGGCCTTGCTCTGTGGCCCAAGCTGGAGTGCAGTGCACCGTCACAGATCACTGCAGCCTTGAACTCCTGGGCGCAAGTTATACTTCTGCCTTAGCCACTCGAGTAGCTGAGACTACAGTTGCTCGCCACCATGTCTGGCTAATTTTTTAATTTTTTTTGTATGGAGATGAGGGCTGATTATTTGGCCCAGGCTGGTCTGGAGCTCCTGAGCTCAAGCGATACTCCTACCTTGGCCTCCCAAAGTGCTAGGATTATAGGCATCAGCCAACACATACAACCAAGATGTATATTTTAATAAATACATTTGCATATCATATTTGTAGATGTGTAGATTTAACAAAAAGTAAAATTGGAGTATTTTATAGCTGTTTCCCACTATAAAGCTCAGTTTTCAAAAATCCAATTTAATCAATTGAGGATAATTTAATTAATTCAAGAAGTCGGCTGGGCATGGTGGCTCACACCTGTAATCTCAACATTCTGGGAGGCTGAGGGAGGTAGATCATTTCAGCTCAGGGGTTTGAGACTAGCCTGGGCACCATGGCAAAACCCCATGTCTACAATAAATACAAGAATTTGCGAGGCATGGTGGTGTGCACTTGTGGTCCCAACTACTTGGAAAGCTGAGGTGAGAGGATTCCTTGGGCCCTGAAGGTAGAAGCTGCAGTGAGCCAAGATCTGCACTCCATGCTGGGTGACAGAGCAAGACCCTGTTAAAAAAAAAAGAAAAAGAAAAACCTATTACCAAGGTTATTCAATCTCACAAGTTTTAAATTTTTTTATTTTAATTATTTTATCTCTAAGAGAAGGTCATCTAAAATTGTTGGCAGGCTCATAAAGTTAAGTAATATTACATGTGTTATGTTGTATATTTGTTTGTTTGTGTTGCTGTGGTATTCCGAGGCTTAAATCCAGGATTTAAAAAATTCAAAGTACCACACAATAAGAAAAAAGAAAATTCGTACTTGTAGTAAAAGAGAAGTAACTTTACTGAGACATGGAAGAAAAATGTTTTCATAAAAGAAGGAATCAAAGAGAAACAGTAATCTCTAAGAATCTTGTGACATAGTCTATAAATCTTTGTACTTCTTTTTTTCTTCTGTGTTATTAAAAAACCTTCGCTAAAAATGAAAAAAAAATCTAGTGTGATGTGAACTCAAAGGAAGAGCTGGGATTTCACACAGTTTAGATATTTGTAGATTGTTTTCAGAGTTTTTAACTTATAAGTTCATTTCAAATTGCATACATTATTGTTAGAGAAAAAATACGTAGAAAACTATTTTTACCAGCTGCCTGTTGTGCTTTGCAAGTCATCACATTTATCATAGATAGTACCCTCCGACTCCTGAATTGCATTCAGTTAACTACATGTATTGGTCAGTGTTCCTGAAAAAACAGAACCAATAGGAGATTTGTCATGAGGAATTAGCTCATGCATTTATGGAGGCTGAAATATGTCATGATCTGCCATCTGCAAATGGGAAACCCAGAAAAGCTGATGATTTATGTCTAGTCCAAGCTGAAAGCCTAAGAATCTGGGGAACTAGTGGTCCAAGTCCAAAGGCTTGAAAACCAGTAATACTGATGGATTTTTCAACTCCAGACAAGATCATAAATTTGCCTTCTCCACCATTTTTCCCTATTCGGGCCTACAACAAATTGAATAATGCCCACTAACACTGGTGAGGGAAGGTATTCTTTACTTAGTTTACTGATTCAAATGTTAATCTCTTCTGGGAACACTCTTACAAAAACAGCAAGAAATAATGATTTACCAGCTACCTAGGCATCCCTTAGCCCAGTCAAGTTAACACAAATTAACTATCACACACGTAGGTTAATGTATAATTACTTATTAGATAGTTTTCTATAACTAATTTTTTCAATAACTAGGTTCATATAGAATAAGCAACAGCCTATATATGTGTGTGATTGTAGATTAATGGTAGATTTTCTAGGGAGTGAAGATAGATCAGGGTACAAAGAAAGAAGACTTCCACATTTATTTTTATACTTTTATACTGTGGGAGACTAGAATATAGCAGCCACAATTAGGCTTTTTTGGCATTGGATTGTTTTAATTGAAGGCAATTAAGAAGAAGCAGATTCAGAAAAGTTTTCTGCCCTCTTTATTTTTCTAAAAGCAAGCCATACATTTACAAAGATAAAAGTCATCTTGCCCCATCTTCTGCCAGGCAGAATAAAGATAAACTGTACAGGACAACTTTAGACCATTATCTGCCTGAAGATGGCACCTGAGGAATCTATATTAATAAGGTTTACTAACTATCCTTTATCTGCCATTTACTAACTTTTCCAGAAACAGCAACCCCTAGAGACTCATTTCTCTAAAAATTTATTATTTTTTTTTGTTGAAGATGTATGTAAGCTAGAATTTGAAGACATCTCTTAGAGAACCACTCATTTCCTAAATATCCACCATATTTACATGAAACATATATGCTAATAGACTTCTGTTTGTTTTTTCTCTTGTTAATCTGTCTTTTGCTACAGGGATCCAGTCCAACTAATAACAAGTGAGGGCTGAAGAAAAAAAAAATCAATCCTCCCCTACAATTCTGTACTGGTTTACTTACTACTTTTATTTTGAATGATTTTAAAGTTCTAATGAATATATTTTATCTGCCTTTTAGAACTAACTCATAATTTTAAGAAATAATGAATCTTCAGAAATAATTTAGAAAAATCATCGAGACTTTGAGCCTGTTTGTCTACTCTTTTATAGTTTACTTACCACTTCTAGATCTAATATTTAATTGGATTCTCACATCTAATATAAAAATGCAAAACAATGTCTATTAAAAAGCACTCTATCTAGTGCCAAAATTCTTGAATTGTTTCTAGGTTTACCTTTTCCCTATAGGAAAGACCTTAAGTAAAAGCATTTAAGCTCTGTAAGTTTAGGTTTCAAACTGAAGGACAGATAATAATGGCATCTAATTCACAGTATGGCAATCAAAGGAGTTCATGTATGTTAAAGCAATTTGTTAACTGTTACCAAACATTAGACAATAGGCACTGTATTTATTACCTAAATTCACATAGTTAAAGGTGGAACAACTAGTGATAAGATTCCAGTAACTTGACTCCTTGTCCAGTGTGCATTCCCTCCCCACCTATGGTTATAAAATAGGGTATGTCATCTTTCAAATATGATATAAAATATAAATCTGGTTACCCTTCTGAATAAATATATAATCATTATTCATAGAGATGGTACTAAAAGCAGTAGCTGTAGTATTGGTAAATCATATATGCAGTTTAAGAGATACTATTTTTGGCGTGGCACAATGGTTCATGCCTATAATCCCACCACTTTGGGAGTTCAAGGCAGGAAGATCGCTTGAGCCCAGGAGTTCAAGACTAGCCTGCATAACATAGGGAGACCCTGTCTCAATCAAAAACTAAAAAAAATAGCTGGGCATGGTGACACACACATATCATCCCAGCTACTTGGGAGGCTGAGGTGGGAGGATCACTTGAGCCTAAGAGTCTGGAGTGCAGTGGTGCAATCACGGCTCACTCCAACCTCTAGCCTGGGCAACAGAGTGAGACCCTGTCTCAAAAATTAATTAACTAAGTAATTAATTTTTAAGAGGAGATATTGTTTTCCACTTTAACATTTAACTGACCTCAACCAAAATTTAGTCAATAAATACTTTTTGTGAACACATGTCTATTATAAGACACACTTCTGATTATCAATTTGGTGCATAATTTTGAGTGGGTGTGTGTGTGTGTGTGTTTATGTGTGTGTGTTTGTGTATCTGTCTGTCTGCCTGTCTCAAGGTTACCAAGGTTTGAGAAGTGTAGCTTAAGAGAAACAAGGAAAATAACAAACTTTCCGTAAAGCCTAGTTTTTTACAGAACTAAATATCTATGAGCTAGTTTCTATTTTTGTTATTGATTTGTACAAAATGTTGGTGTATTCTCAAACTTATTCTTTGGTAAAACAGTATAAACATTTTCCTATGTATGTCTCTTTTTTTAAAAAAAATGCCATCCTTTACTAATATTACATTTTGAGAGATTTGATAGAGTGTGATTAATCTCATATATTTCTGAAGATCAAATGCCTGCTTTCAAATAACATTTCTAATGTTTCTTAACTTTTGACTGGATAATGTACTTAATTGACCTAATTGTTTCCCTTTACTTAAAGTCAAAGAATCTGTAGCCATTACACATTGATCATATGACCAAGCACAATTTACTTAAACTCTCTATGCCTGTTTTCTCTTATCTGACACTAGCAGAAAAAAACAGTACTTACTTTCTGTGATTGTCAGGAACATTAAATATGTTAATAACAAATCGAGTACTTAGAATAAGACCTAGAATAATAAATAATTCGTAAGTAATAAATAGCTGTATTGTAACTGTATAATAATTTATTATTGTTAATTACATTATTTTTGTTGTTTTTGTTGCTACTATGCTTTTTGTTTCCATACTTTCTTGTTATTTCTACTCTTATTGGTCATATTTAGTCTGTTTTACACCTCCTCATCCCTTCTGTCTTGGGAACTTTGTTTTGTGATGAAGGGTATTATTGTATTTTTCTCTTTGAATTGCTTCTTTCTGACTTCCTGAATGTGTTGTGAGGTCTACAAACACTGTTCTCCATTACTCTTGAACATCTACACCCACATTAGGAGGGCTGCCCACTTTCTTAAGAGTGTTAGCTTTAGAATTTAACATAGGTAAATGCCCATGAGGGAGTCTCTTCTTTCATTCTATCTGGGAGAACTGGGTATCAGTGAAGGGTAATGAATCCAACAATTGAGAATGCAAATTTGTAATTACCTTGGGGATTTTACTGCTTCTTTTTCTGCTTTTGTATGTGTTCATTTGATGTAGGCATTTCTTCAATTCTGCCTTTACCTTCACCTGGCTTTTTTCTGTGCTGTATTTATTGCACTCTGGTTTATTCCACTTTGTCATTTACTCTGTTCACTTGCTATCTATTCCCATAATTTCTGGTTGATAGAAGGCATTTATTTTTTTCTCATTATATGTATTTATTTATTTTTCTTTCTGTTTGAAGGATTTTTAATAAATTTCATGGATCCAAAATCTCTTACTTTATTTTGCCTTTATTATCTGTATTTACTCTGTAATATACTATGTTTACTTTTTAATTCTTAGCAATACTTACATGTTATAATAAGCCTTTGGACTACTGAATCAACTATTTAATAATGTATTATGAAATTAATTACCTTATATGTCTTGATGACCATATCCACTGTCTCCATAATTTAAAAGAGCAATGAGAAAAAACAACCTGGAGAAAGATGTTGAAAACAAAATATCATTTAAAATAAATTCTTTATAAAAAGAACACTATTAAATAATAAAACGTTAACAGATAATATAAGATTAAATTATGGTTTTGGATAACATTATTTAGAAGTTCCTGACTTTTGCTATACTTTGCTTTCTTGTCATTTTCGATATCGATCGTACTGCATTTCTCTATTTCAGTGTCAAAACCCTAATGGCATGCATCTGTCAGCTTTGCCTTTAACTGATACCAGTTGTTTCCTTCAATGACATCTGTATCATTTTAAAAAATGTTTTCATAGTCACAATTTCGTCTCTTTTAAGTATGTTGGTGACTGTGGCATATGGTATTTTTCATTTCTTAGCCTTTAAAAGGGGTCAAAAATACAATATATTTTATGAAAAGAGCTTTCAAAAATGTTGCATTGCTTGGGCCCTTTATTTTTTCATACAACTTCTCTAAATAGCTGTGCTTCGCACATTCAGACTACAGTAAATAATAATAAACTAAAATTTTGCTTTAATAAGTTTAAATAAAAAGCACTGTTGTTTTTCTCTGTAGACTTCTTTTTAAAACATGCCTTGCATTTGTTAAGTACACTATAAAATTAGGAAAGACCAAGATAGTGAAATTTCTGTAAATAAACTTTACATATAGCACGTTGATTATTACTGAAATAATTTTTCTGCAGATTCTGCTTGTATTTTCATGCAATAAAGAAAAGAAAAAATACACGGCCACAGTTCAATCTGAGGCAACCTTCAACCAAAAATTATATGCTTATCTACTATAAAATAAAATGATCTAATGATGAGGTAATTACTAATAATATTATTATTGATTGTATGTTTATTATTAGAATTTATTAGCTTTTTATTAACATTTTATCTGATATTATGTTCTAACAAGTTTACAAAGTGTTCCCAAAAGAGAGTTTATTCTCTAATATTTATATTTAAGTGTACATTCTATAGAAAACAATACCATGCCACTGTAGTATATATTTTAGGTTTAAACTAAAACTCTTGAGCTCTATTATCAACTCTTAAGTCATATTTTAGAAAAGTTTAACTCAAATATGTATTTATTTTTTCAAGACATAATATTTCTTTTGGATTTGGGTTAAGAAGGATAAATTAGCAGATATTCAATGGTGCTGCTAATGAGATTCTCAATAAATTCAATTTATTGACTGGTAGTCTAATTCATTTTTTCCATGACAGTGTAAGCTCTTTGAATGCACATAATGATAATTTGCTTGTTAGTGCATCTCTAGTAGCCAAAATCATGCCTAACACATATTTGGCACTCAATAAACTTTTGTTGAATGTAAAATTAATCATTAAAAATCCTATTGAAATACTTTAACTGAGCATGCAAACTTGAAACTGTAAAAAGTTTAGGGTATCTTGTACTTCATGTAGAGAAAACAAAGAAAATTATTACAATGATATCTATTCCCCACCACTTTCCACCGATATACTACTGCTTTGCTCCCAGATAGATATAGTGATGGGTCAGATATATGTTGCTCAAGATAAATAAGGCATATACAGTGTTAAAGGCTCCTTCTGAATAACAACCCAGCTGTTTGAGATCCACCTTGTCTGACTACCAGAAACACAGAGAAATAGAGGTATAGCTCAAATACCTTCTGGATAGGATGGATACAACAACCACAGCACCAGTACACTCCTGACTGTTATCTTATTTTTAATCATTTTCTCTCATAATCATGTGTTATTCCTCCCATGCTGTACATTTGAAGCAAGACTGCTAATGATTTAGAGATCCATCAACTCCAAAGCCATTGCATCAGAAGCCAGGTACTCACTGACACATTCAGTATTTATTTAGTATCCAGAACTATACTAAAACTCACTATATTTTAGATGTAGAAATATTAAGCCAAATAAGTTTATCAAATTACTTTCTTCAGGTAGCTTCATATATATATATGGGATTGAAAAATAATAAAAAAGTAAAGTAAGTAAAATAAAAACAATTATGTTAAAATCTAATTTAAGAAAATAAAATGTTGAAGGGAGATACACAGCAGGGGTGTGTTTCCATTTTTAAGTCAATTCTCATTGATTTATTTTCTTTTAAGAACTTTTTGGAGGAAAAGTTTGTACTTATAAATATTTTCTTTACTTATAAAATTTAGAAAGATGAAAGTGTGGATATTTTCATATCCAAATCACGCTAATTAACAAAATGTTACCTCTGGGCCAGGCACAATGGCTTATGCCTGTAATCCCAGCAATTTGGGAGACCAAAGCAGAAGGATCACTTAAGCCCAGGAATTCAAGACCAGAGTGGGCAACATGGTGAGACATTTTTTCTATTAAAACAAAAAAGTTATCTCTGAATCATGTTATATTACAAAAGTGAAATGCATTTAATATCCAAGCCAAATAGGGTTAGCTGTTATTTTACAGGAGAAAGAAATCATAACTACATTCTGAGGAAACTTCTCAACATGTAGTCTGATATATGCATTAACTTTTTGACAAATTTCTTATAGATGTGTTCAGTATAAAATATAACTGCTCTAACAGTATTTCTCAGTTCCATGTTTAAGCTAATATGATTGGAAATGCCATAAAATCAAGTAAAGCCTTTCTATTGACCTACCTTAAACTAGAAAATGGTACATTATCTATCTATCTATCTATCTATCTATCTATCTATCTATCTATCTATCAATCATCATTCTATCTATCTATCATCTATCTATCTATCTCTGTCATCTCTCTAACATTTTTTGAGATTCGGAGAATACTTTTGATCAAAAGAGCAGGGAAACCTGCCATTATATAATTTGAGACGCATAAGTTCATGCTGAATTATCTATATTCAAGGTAAAAATATAGAAAATATTCCTCATAGATAATATTTTAAATGAGAATAGTGATCGCACATTTTTAAAATATGCTAATTAAAGTTAGCAAAGAGATAAACACTCAAAGATAAATGTAAGAAAGATAAGGAGAACAGGACCAGTGGTAAGAGAATAAAACTGTAGAATTTTTGGCAGTGATTCAATATCAATTTGAACTTTTTCAGTTTAGAAAATATTTTTCTATGGTATTGAAGAGTAGAAATTTCTGTCTCAATATCAAATTCCTTCTAAGCTATACACTTATTTTGTACTTTCATTTCAGACTTATTTTGTTTCAACATACTGGATATATTCTCTCTCTCTCTCCCCTTCTGACTCAATCTCTCTCAGGACTTATGAAAAGATTATGCCACTCATTGTGCTAATAAAAAGCTATTTAGTAAAGTCCACATTTTACAGAAGAAAACCTTTTTTTATTATTATACTTTAAGTTTTAGGGTACATGTGCACAACATGCAGGTTGGTTACATATGTATACATGTGCCATGTTGGTGTGCTGCACCCATTAACTTGTCATTTAGCATTAGGTATATCTCCTAATGCTATCCCTCCCCCCTCCCCCCTCTCCCCACCCCACAACAGGCCCCTGTGTGTGATGTGCTGCTTCCTGTGTCCACGTGTTCTCATTGTTCAATTCCCACCTATGAGTGAGAACATGCAGTGTTTGGTTTTTTGTCCTTGTGATAGTTTGCTGAGAATGATGGTTTCCAGCTTCATCCATGTCCCTACAAAGGACAGGAACTCATCATTTTTTATGGCTGCATAGTATTCCATGGTGTATATGTGCCACATTTTCTTAATACAGTCTATCATTGTTGGACATTTGGGTTGGTTCCAAGTCTTTGCTATTGAGAATAGTGCCACAGTAAACATATGTGTGCATGTGTCTTTATAGCAGCATGATTTATAATCCTTTGGGTATATACCCAGTAATGGGATGGCTGGGTCAAATGGTATTTCTAGTTCTAGATCCTTGAGGAATCACCACACTGACTACCACAATGGTTGAACTAGTTTACAGTCCCACCAACAGTGTAAAAGTGTTCCTATTTCTCCACATCCTCTCCAGCACCTGTTGTTTCCTGACTTTTTAATGATTGCCATTCTAACTGGTGTGAGATGGTATCTCACTGTGGTTTTGATTTGCATTTCTCTGATGGCCAGTGATGATGAGCATTTTTTCATGTGTCTTTTGGCTGCATAAATGTCTTCTTTTGAGAAGTGTCTGTTCATATCCTTCGCCCACTTTTTGATGGGGTTGTTTGTTTTTTTCTTGTAAATTTGTTTGAGTTCATTGTAGATTCTGGATATTAGCCCTTTGTCAGATGAATAGATTGCAAAAATTTTCTCCCATTCTATAGGTTGCCTGTTCACTCTGATGGTACTTTCTTTTGCTGTGCAGAAGCTCTTTAGTTTAGTTAGATCCCATTTGTCAATTTTGGCTTTTGTTGCCATTGCTTTTGGTGTTTTAGACATGAATTCCTTGCCCATGCCTATGTCCTGAATGGTATTGCCTAGGTTTTCTTCTAGGGTTTTTATGGTTTTAGGTCTAACAATTAAGTCTTTAATCCATCTTGAATTAATTTTTGTATAAGGTGTAAGGAAGGGATCCAGTTTCAGCTTTCTACATATGGCTAGCCATTTTTCCCAGCACCATTTATTAAATAGGGAATCGTTTCCCCATTTCTTGTTTTTGTCAGCTTTGTCAAAGATCAGATGGTTGTAGATATGTGGCATTATTTCTGAGGGCTCTGTTCTGTTCCATTGGTCTGTATCTCTGTTGACATGATTGTATATCTAGAAAACCCCATTTTCTCAGCCCAAAATCTCCTTAAGCTGATAGGCAACTTCAGCAAAGTCTCAGGATACAAAGTCAATGTGCAAAAATCACAAGCATTCTTATACACCAATAACAGACAAACAGAGAGACAAATCATGAGTGAACACCCATTCACAATTGCTTCAAAGAGAATAAAATACCTAGGAATCCAACTTACAAGGGATGTGAAGGACCTCTTCAAGGAGAACTACAAACCACTGCCCAGTGAAATAAAAGAGGATACAAATGGAAGAACATTCCATGCTCATGGGAAGGAAGAATCAATATCGCAAAAATGGCCATACTGCCCAAGGTAATTTATAGATTCAATGCCATCCCCATCAAGCTACCAATGACTTTCTTTGCAGAATTGGAAAAAACTACTTTAAAGTTCATATGGAACCAAAAAGGAGCCCGCATTGCCAAGTCAATCCTAAGCCAAAAGAACAAAGCTGGAGGCATCACGCTACCTGACTTCAAACTATACTACAAGGCTACAGTAAGCAAAACAGCATGGTACTGGTACCAAAATAGAAGAAAACATTTTTAAAAGTGAGATATGTATTGAAATTTTTCTGCCCTGCAATATTACACCAATCATTAGTTTATTGTACAGAAAGTGAAATGAAGGGTTGGTGGTGAAAATCAGGAGAATCAATAAATAAAATATAATACTTTACCAGAAACTAGATATATAATGGTGAATAATACATTTAACTCTCTTGTTCTTATGGACTTATGTGCTCAGTGAAAGAGACATAGAAAGTCAATTAAGCAATAAAATAATAAAAATAATTACGAATTTTGAAAGTCCTGTATCTTTTCTCAATTCTCATACTAAGCCAACTGTGTCACTCTGTGCTTCATTTGTTGTCTTTCTTCATTACATTCATTATGTTTTAAGAGTCATTCTACTTCACAAGTCTCACCTAGATGTCCCATATATTTATGTGCTTTCTGGTTGCAAATGTGGAGAACAGTTCAGTCAAGGTGGGTGGCACTGGGATTATAAGGAACATTAAAATATGGAGATATATATAAGATCTATGTAAATAAAGAGTAATATTAGAAAAAATGCTTAGAATTTTTCCTGGAATAATAGATTTCTACATTTTTCTGTGTAGAACTCCAAAACCAAAGAATAGTTTGGAATAGATAAGACATAGCTCTTACTTTTTTTTCACTTTATTTTTTTTTATTATACTTTAAGTTCTGGGGTACATATGCAGAACATGCAGGTTTGTTACATAGGTATACACATGCCATAGTGGTTTGCTGCACCCATCAACCAGTCGTCTACATTAGGTATTCTCATAATGCTATCCCTCCCCTAGCCCTCCACCCACTGACAGGCCCCGGTTTGTGATGTTCCCCTCCCTGTGTCCATGTGTTCTCATTGTTCAACTCCCACTTATCAGTGATAACATGCGGCATTTGGTTTTCTGTTCTTGTGTTAGTTTGCTGAGCATGACGGTTTCAAGCTTCATCCATGTCCCTGCAAAGGACATGAACTCATCCTTTCTTATGTCTGCATAGTATTCTATTTCCTTTCATTAATATTTCACAATATTAAAATCTTCTCAATAAAGTAAAATGAAAGCAAATGAAATAAAACAAAGAGACTCAAATCTGTCTATTAAGATTTAAATAATACACCAAAATGTTGCAACATGAATTGTAAAATATTCTGACACTGTGCATTGTCCAGTTCTGAATAAAAGTTAATTATAGGGCCATAAAGGAAAGTAAAACAATCCTGGGCACTGTATTATCTAATTAGAAAGCTATACTCAGCATCTTTTATCCCTGTGTAGGACTGGTTAGCCTTATAAAGCTATTAAATGTGGAGTTTGCCTTTTACTAATCCAATAAGTTTGATTCTGTTTAATGTAAGTATAAGTTCATCTTTAAACAGTAAATTTTAAAGCACTTTAAAATCAGTAAACAAAATTATAGTCTTGAAGCGAAATATGCAGCATGTATGTCATCCAATTCTAGGCAGGACTGACAGTACTGCATGTAACTGACACCAATAGAAAAAGCATGATTTTCCTTCCTTCCTCTGAACAATAGCCATGCTAGAAGGAAAACTTTGGCTCATGAACATATGTATTTGCATAAGATAATTTCTCTGAGTTTGTCAATAGTGTGGAAAATCCAAAATGAACTTGGTCACCATATGTTATTATAAGTTCATTTTCTTCAATGTTCTCATTTAAAATAAGCTGAAACAGATGGATAGAATTCCTCTGTATGAATGTCAGTTGAATAATTGAGCTATGGCATTTACTTAGCAAACACATACAGAAATTCTAATGAAACACAGATATCATAGATATCATTTCATATTTTCTACCTCTTTAATAGTTTTTTACTGATGAAATTTGGAAAATGAATATTAGAATGACTATCATGAAAATTAAGGTGACTTGGCTCTTTATAATTAGCAATTTGAGAATAGAGTCATCTCACACCATCTGTTTTCTTTCGTTTGTAGTAGATTGTGCAAATAAGTTGGCTTGCTGATCAAGAAACAAAAAAAGCAGTTAAGAATAAAGCTAGAATTTAGTTCTGTGTTTGTGGAATTTTAAATTGTTTGAGTAGTTAAATCCAAAATACACAGGGTGGCAAAATTAGACATTGTAACAAATAATTACAATCTAGAGAATACTTATGATGAAATAGCCTCTTAAAAAGTGAAATGGCTCACGTTTTCATGTTTTGCCTTTTTTTTTTTTTTTTTAATCAGCATGAGACAAAGTGTTGATGTGAAAGACGTAGACCTGTGACTCAAGAAATCTAATCTGTCCTTATTCTTGCACTGCACTTTTCTGGACCTCAGCCTGTCCTCTATGAAAGGAAGTGACTGAGCAATTTGATCTCCAAGGAATCTTGTCCTAGCAACAGAGATCCCCAAATAAAACTTTGGGGGGTAAAATATTAGGATTTATTTTTTAAATCTCAGAAGTTGTAAACTGCATATGTTATAAAAGATTATCTAGATAGACTTATAAAACACTCTTAAAATTGGGGGAAAAATAAAGTATATATTTAAAGATAAATATTTATCCTGTATAGTAGCTCTGTCAGAATGGCATTAAACTGAATATATACTTCCTAAAAAGACTGAATAATGGACTTTTAGTGACTTTGCAAATTTTATTGATACTATAATTTGAGGATAAGACAAATCAAATTCATATTTTTTCCTATTTTTTTAAATTTTTGAACATATTAGGATATGACTACTATTATTGATAAAACTGATCCATTTATTTTGTTTATATAATTATATTCCTTTATTAGGTAGTAATATAGAAACAATGCCTGGGAATTTTTAGGAATATGTTTTTTTTAATGTTATTTTATAATCAGCAGTATGTAAAGATTATTTGGTATACTCTTTCTTTTTGTTTTTGTTTTAATCTTTGTATTTTATCCCATGACAATTATAAGAATTTTCTCTTATACCATTATATATTGGTTTGCATAGTGTTAAATAATCTGAACATATTTTTAAACTTATTCCTAGAAAGACTTTGAAATATTGCAAAAGATTGTATAAAATGATTGCAGTAGAATTGAGAAAACAGAGTTTCTGTGGAAAAAGAAATTCTGTACTAAGGCAAAAGAACGTGAATAGGAGTTTGTGAATACGAGTTGGTAATTTTGGTCCTATGATCACTTACATATGCATAAAAATTGTTCTAAATAAATCTGGACCACTGACTCCAATATAGTACTTCATTTGACTTCATTTTTCTGTTTTCCTGGCTTTATAATTGTCTCAAACATCTATGATAATTTAAAAATGGGATACATGGTAAGAAAAATTATAACTTTCATCACAAAGTAGGGCATCCCCATTGCTCAGATGGTATGGTGGAAGGATTTAAAGCAGAGTTCCTCTGAGATAATGGACTTTCAACCATAAGCCAACAATTCAAAGTGAAAACTTCTTGTCTTCTTTTGTGTATGTATACCTAAGAATATATAAAGCATAATTACACTTATGTCTGAACACCCTGGTTTCCAACATTTGGAGTTGATTATCTCTGGTCTTGTACTTTATTCTTGTTTTAACAGTTGATTTTACTTAGCTCGAAATGTCTTTTATAATCATGTTTGGATACTGAGCATATGAAAAGCTTTTAACCTACACACATGTGACAACTTCTGTATTCAAATGAGAGCTTCACTCCAGTTTTTTTCTCAGTAATATGAATGTTGGTGAGCTTCCTTAATGTCCAATACAGAAAAATTTTCTTTGGATTACTAAATCACTTAGTCTTGCAAACTTAGCTTAGTTTTTATTTTTATCTGATTTATTTCAATTTATCCTTTCATCTGTCTCTTAATTTCATTACCCATAACATTGAACAACTCTTCTCACATGCCATTAGTTATAAATGGCTTGAAATACAATACAATTTATCAAGTTAACAAGCAAAAAACACAAAAAAAACTAACATCACTTGAATTATATTAGGTCTCTACAGTTTTGTCAGTTGTTCATATTAATACATTTATAAAGCCTAATAAAATGTTGAAAGTATATAAGACTTTAAACAATTCGAATATGGAAATATTTATAAGAAGATTTTTAAGTGGTGAGAATGAAATATAGTTTCATATAGAATAAATGCAATGTAAGGTTTTGTGAAACTCATTAAGGTACTAAGAAGGCATTTGTATTTTGAGTGATTACTTTGAAATAAACTATATATATTTGTATATATAAATTATATATATATATTTAATTACGTGGATTTTTGTTCCTATTGCCAGTCAAAAAACCAGGTGCCCTTTATGGAGTGAATTATCATTTGGCTGGTGAATTTATAGATCAATAAACATTTGTAAATCTACTACTTTCTATAGATGCATCCAAACACCTACATATCAAGTGTAAATTAACTGATGCCACTTTTGGCAAGATAATTATTGTAGATATTTACCGGTTTAATCATAATGAGAGCAATCTAACCTCATGGAAACCATTTCTCCTTCAGAACAAAAGTTTCTTCAACCATTCAATCTAATGAGTGCTTATTATACAATAACAATGGATGCTCTTTGTTTAAATAAGCTTTGTGCTGATTTCATTATTATTTATAGGTATCTGTCTATCAATAACATTAACACTTTTAGACAAAAAAGAAAAATATAAAAATCTACATTTTTAATATTCTGCTTCCTATTTCTTTTTTTTTTTTTTTTTCCTTTAAGTTCTGGGATAGACGTGCTGAACGTGCTGGTTTGTTACATAGGTATACATGTTCCATGGTGGTTTGCTGCACCTATCAACCTGTCATCTAGGTTTTAAGCTTCACATGCGTTAGGTATTTGTCCTAATGCTTTCCCTCCTCTTTCTCGCCAGCCCCTGACAGTCCGCTGTGTGTGATGTTCCCCTCCCTGTGTCTATGTGTTCTCATTGTTCAGCTCCCACTTATGTGTGAGAACATGCAGTGTTTGGTTTTATGTTCCTATGTTAGTTTGCTGAGGATGATGGTTTCCAGCTTCATCCATGTCTCTGCAAAGGACAAGAACTCATTCTTTTGTATGTCTGCATAGTATTCCATTGTGTGTATGTGCCACATTTTCTTTATCCAGTCTATCGTTGATGGGCATTTGGGTTGGTTCCAAGTCTTTGCTGTTGTAAATAGTGCTGCAATAAACATATGTGTGCATGTGTCTTTATAGTAGAATAATTTATAATCCTTTGGGTATATACTCAGTACTGGGATTGCTGGTTCAAATGGTATTTCTGATTCTAGATCCTTGAGGAATCACCACACTGTCTTCCACAATGGTTGAACTAATTTATACTCCCACCAACAGTGTAAAAACATTCCTATTTCTTCACATCCTCAGGAGCATCTGTTTTTTCCAGGCTTTTTAATGATCGCCATTCTAACTGGCATGAGATGGTATCTCATTGTGGTTTTGATTTCCATTTCTCTAATGACAAGTGATGATGAGCTTTTTTTTCATATGTTTGTTGGCCACATAAATATCTTCTTTGGAGAAGTGTCTGTTCATATCCTTTGCCCCCTTTTTGATGGGGTTGTTTTTTTTTCTTGTAAATTTGTTTAAGTTCCTTTTAGATTCTGAATATTAAACCTTTGTCAGATGGATAGATTGCAAAAATTTTCTCCCAGTATGTAGGTTGCCTGTTCACTCTGATGATACTTGCTTTTATATAGCAGAAGCTCTTTAGTTTAATTAGATCCCATTTGTCTATTTTGGCTTTTGTTGCAATTGCCTTTGTTGTTTTAGTCATGGGTATTGATGAAGCATATGTCAAAATGGCAAAAGGTATTTATGACAAACCCATAGCCAATATCATACTGAATGGGCAAAAACTGGAAGCATTCCCTTTGAAAACTGGCACTAGACAATGATACCCTCTCTTGCCACTCCTATTCAACATAGTATTTCAAGTTCTGGCCAGAGCAATCAGGAATGAGAAGGAAATAAAGGTATTTGAATAGGAAGAGAGGAAGTCAAATTGTCTCTGTTTTCAGATGACATGACTGTATATTTAGAAAGTCTCATCGTCTAAGCCCAATAACTCCTTCAGCTGATAGACAACTTCAGCAGTCTCAGGATACAAAATCAATGTGCAAAAATCACAAGCATTTCTATATACCAATAATTAACAAGCAGAGAGCCAAATCATGAGTAAAATCCCATTTGCAATTGCTACAAAGAAAATAAAATACCTAGGAATACAACTTACAAGGGATGTTAAAGACCTCTTCAAGGAAAGCTACAAACCACTGCTCAAGGAAATAAAAGAGGACACAAACAAATTGAAAAGTGTTCCATGCTCATGGATAGGAAGAATCAATTTTGTGAAAATGGCCATACTGCCCAAAGTAATTTATAGGGCCTTATTCAGTGCTATCCCCATCAAGCTACCATTGACTTTTTTAACAGAACTAGAAAAAGCTATTTTAAATTTCATATGGAACCCCAAAAAGAGCCCGCATAGCCAAGACAATCCTAAGCAAAAAGAACAAAGCTGGAGGCATCATGCTACCTGACTTCAAACTATATTACAAGGCTACAGTAACCAAACCGCATGGTACTGGTACCAAAACAGGTATATAGATCAATGAAACAGAACAGTGGCCTCAGAAATAACACCACACATCTACAACCATCTGATCTTCAACAAATACGACAAAAAAAAGCAATGGGGAAAGGATTCCCTATTTAATAAATGGTGCTGGGAAAACTGGCCAGCCATATGCAGAAAACAGAAACTGGACCCCTTCCTTACACTGTATACAAAAAATAACTCAAGGTGGATTAACGACTCAAACGTAAAACTTAAAAATATAAAATTCCTTGGCAAAAACCTAGACAATACCATTCAGGACATAGGCATGGGCAAAGACTTCTGCTTACTATTTCTATATCGTTTTTATCCTTGGTGTTTACTTTAATAAAATCACTATCTACAAGCAATAGCAAAAGTATGTGAGACACACAGAAAATGAAAAAGTGCTAAATTAATGCAAAATACATTTCTTACTAAAGTTATTTTTAATCCAATAATATAAATGTGTTTACTTCTGATATTTTGCAAGTTTGGGTATTATTTATATTGACTACATTTGAAAAAAACATTTAATAAAATGTAATAATCTTACTTAAATCACTTAGAATTGATTAAAGCATTTGTTATTAAAAGAATTGTATGTTGTTTTTAGAACTTTATTGGATGTATTCAATTAGTAGTATATTTTGACATGTTCCCTCTCATAGTTATATTTAGTGCAATAGAAACTGACATCTCTATGTCTGAACACATGACACTATAAATTTGAGAACTGGTACTAAATGTTGTTTACAATACAAGTGCCAACTTTTTGAAAGTTATGAATAGTAATATAAAATCTTTAACTGTGCTACAATTTTAGAAGCAATTGTTGCTTTTATGTTGATAACCACTACAAAAGTATAGAAAGTGTTTATATATATACATATAAAATTCGAGGAATTCTTTTACCTGAAATTCTCTCATTTGTCCCCGTAAATGGCTCTCTGAGCATCACATTGGATTGACGGCCAAGAATTAGTAGTATAAAAAAGATATTAAAAACTTAAATCTTGAAAATGGAAACATGAACATACCAAAATTACTAGAAAATTCTGCTTCACTAAGAGTTCAAGACATATTAAGCCTTTTCTAAGGTACTTAAAGCAATAACTGTATTTTTTAAAAAGAAATATAAACAACAGGCGACAAATATAGTGATTTTAAAAAGCTAAACTAAAGAAGGAGTTGGGCAAGATATACAAGAAAATTAAAGTAACAAGAAAGCAGAATTCTACCTGTCTTTAGATGAACACTCTATAGCACTAAAGTCCATAATCAATAATGTAAATACAATATTTGTGAATATCTATGTACAAAATCACCTGACAATCACAATATAAACCAGAAATCATGAAGATAAAGGGGTCCTATAAAATACACTGGTAATAAGGGAATGCAACATACTACTCTCAGTTCAAAAGAAGTAAAGTGAAAAAACAGGCAAAACTACTCCGCCTAATATACTATTTCCATACACAATAGGGCAATGGGGTATAATTATGCATGTGGACTATGGAGTCTGACACAAAGTTCCAAATTCTATTTCTGTCATGTCTAGCAAGTTATTTTGGGGGCAACTTAAATCTTTTAGCCTTGCTGTCTTCATGTGTAAAAGGAGGCAGTACAATAATCTGCCATATGATTTTATTATAATATAAGGAATATATGTGATAATCCAGACAAAAGATTTAACATGAATCCTATCACACAGAAATTTTTTGGGAATTACTAGCTAGTATTATTTAAATAAGAATATTGTGATGGGGTTCATGACATAGTACCCCAAATTATGACATCTTGGCCTATTTAATTTTTTAAGCAGAAGAAATTTGAGAAATGGTAGGTGCTAGCAGGACTCTGTGACCTTCCCCTGAAGCAGGTCTTAAGACTCCCTAATGAGAGGTGCCCTCCTTATGCCCAGAGGAAAGGAGCAACCTTATCTCTGAAAATGGAGAAATGCCAAGAAGAATCTAAAAGAACAGCTTTTGTTAAATTCCCCTTAGTTTACTACTAGTAACTCATAGATCTTTTGGTCCAATGACATTTTCCCATGACTCCCTAAACCTCTTTAAATCTAACTTAAAGACACTCAGGTTTATCTGTTTCTTCAGCTTTTCATTTCCTTATAAAGATTCCCATGTAATGTAAAACTTACATTAATTAAAGTTGTACACTTTTCTCCTTCTAATTTCTTTTGATACAGGACACCTAGCCAAGAACTTAGAAGGGTAGACATAAAATATATTTTTTACTCTTCTACAATTGCTTTGTATTTATTTACTTCTTTCACAATGCTTTGTTTTAATTTTACAATTGACTTTAATTTAGTTATTACAGAAATTTTCTAACACATTCAAGAAGTGAAAACATTTTCTTACAACTTAAAAATCCAGAAGCAATTGAAAAAGAATTATTTGACTTTAAAGAGATAAGCTAACCCACCAACCAAATATAAAAACTATACATAATATATAAAGACAAATATCAAACTTTGAAAAATTTACAACCCATGATACTTACTTATTAACTTAAAATTTATTTTGGAGAAATATTTCTCTAAGTGGCTAATTTTAATGTTTGGTTCATACTAAAGATTACAGAAGCCTAAACTTTTTTACACCTTGTTCTCTGTCTGTTAGCATTTACCAGTTCTCTTATACATGTCAATCCTTAATTTTTTAACCAATGGCAACTAAGGTTAGCTCAAGTTTACTCAGTAACAAATGAAAAATATGATGTATGTTGCCCAATATTTGGCTAAATTGGGATCTGCTCACATGAGAAAATAATCTAGTTATTGCCACCTTGCTGAGAAATATAATAAAGAGATGAATGCAAGTGGAAAGAACCAAAACTAAGGAAAGATAATGAAGAATTGTGTGAGTTGTCATACATCCTAATACCAGTTCAGTTGTCTGTTTTCACTAAGTCCATTCTAACTGAAATAAGTTGCTTGATTTGTCTGCTTTTGTTATTCATAAATATTGGTCCAGGTAAATTAAATAAATAAAAAAATATATATTTGTTATATATATAAGTGTGTGTGTTATATATGTGTTATATACATAAGTTATATATATGTTATATATATAAGTGTTATATATGTGTGTATATACATATATGTACATATATACACATATATACATATGAGTACACATGTATACATATACACATATATACATATGAGTACACATGTATACATATACACACATATACATATATGTATGCATATATACATATATATACATATATACATACATACATATATATACACACATATATACATATATACATATATATGATGGGGATGGAGGCCAGGTGGCCCAGGGATTGTAAGACAACCTAATGAAAATCTTTTTTCTCACAAAGACTACCACTCTACTAGCAGCTGCTCCAAACCTGTGAAGATTATGAACAGGTACAAATCCTTACCTCTGGAGAAGACTCAATAGATAGTGTTTTATTTATTTATTTATTTATTTATTTATTTATTTATTTATTTATTTTTTAGACGGAGTTTTGCTCTTGTTGCCCAGGCTGGAGTGCAATGGTGCGATCCCAGCTCACTGCAACCTCTGCCTGCTGGGTTCAAGAGACTGTCCTGCCTCAGCCTCCCAAGTAGCTGGGATTACAGGCAATGGCCAGCACGCCTGGCTAATTTGGTAATTTTAGTAAAGATGGAGTTTCTCCATGTTGGTCAGGCTGGTCTTGAACTCCTGACCTCTGGTGATCCCCCCACCTCGGCCTCCCAAAGTGCTGGGATTACAAGTGTGAGCTATCGCACCCAGTTTTTTTATTGTTACGGAAGTTTAATACATGTTGACAAGATCACTGCAGACAAATGATCATGATTAGAAGCATTTTCTTGTTTTTTAATCACACTTTTGTACATCAGAGCTCCAGCCTTCCTTCTGTCTGGGATATGAGATGAAAATATTTAGAAACTATATTATTAGTGATGAAATGGATTGGAGTAAAATCATTGATATCATTCTTCCATTAATTGAATGAGAGAAAGATCATGAAGCCCTAGACAGAAGCTTATTATAAATTTACAGATATGCTCTCTCATCTTCAGTTACATAAAGATTCATTTAAACTGAAATGTTTGGAAGAGACTCATTGTTTACATGCTACAGAAGGCCAAAGGTTAATTCAAGAAAGAGATGATCTAGAATATCTTAACCACATAAGTAGACATTTGGAAGAATAAGGAGACTCAGTAATTACATATTTAGAAGACAGAACATAGAAATCACTGATTGCTTTTGTGGAGAAACAGCTATTAGGAGAACATTTTACAGCAATTCTGCAGAAAAAGCCTGACTACTTACTTGATGAGCACAAAGCGCTCAATCTTCCACAGAGAAATCAACTGTTCAGCCGGGTGAAAGGCAGGCAGAAGTTGCTGCTGTAACATCAGAGTGAATACATCAAGACTTTGAGGACAACAATTGTCACAAATCCTGAGAAATACAAATATGTGGTACAAGACCTGCTGACCTGCTGGACTTCAAGGACAAAGGGGGCCACATGACAAAGATTTGCTAGAAGAATGAGAGATTTTTCAACCTGATGGGGTACTTCCAGATGTTCTTCAACAGAGACCAACAAGAGACCAAAAAAGCCTGCAGACCTCATCACAAAGTATGTTGATTCAAAGTTAGAAGTGAGCTAAAAAGAAACAGTGAACAAAGAGCTAGAAAGGATCCTGGACAAGATTAAGATAATATTTAGGTTCCTTCCCAATAAAGATGTATGCATTAGTCTGTTCTTGCATGGCTATAAAGAACTATTAATTTTAAATACATTAATTTATTTTTTAAAAAAGATTTAATTTACTCACAATGCCATAGGCTCTATAGGAAGTGTGGCTGGGGAGGCCTCAAGAAACTTTCAATCATGGCGGAAGTCAAAGTGAAAGCAAGCACATCTTGCATGGCTCAAGCAGGAGGAAGATAGTGGAGGAGGAGGTGCTACACATTTTTAAAAAAACAGATCTAGTGAGAACTCTGTCACAAGACAGCGCTAGGGGGATAGTGCTAAGCCATAAAAAACCACCCCCATGATCCAATCACCTCCCATCAGGCCCCACCTCCAATGATGGGGATTATAATCCAACATGAGATATGAGTGGGGACACAGAGAAAACCATATTATTCCTCCCTTGGCCCCTCCCCCATCTCACATTTCTCTCACATTTTAAAACACAATTGTGCCTTCCCAACAGTCCCCCAATGTCTTAACTCATTTTAGCATGAATTCAAAAGTCCAAGTCCAAAGCCTCGTCTGAGACTAAGCAAGTCCCTTTCACCTATAAACCTGAAAAATTAAAAACAAGTTACTAGTTACTTCCAAAATACAATGGTGGCACAGGCATTGGGCAAACACTCCCAATCCAAAAGGGAGAAATTGGGCAAAACAAAGGGGCAACAGGACCCATGAAAGTCTGAAACCCAGCAGGGCAGTCATTACATCTTAACACTCCAAAACTATCACCTTGGACTACATGTCTCACATCCAGGCAACATCGATGCAAGGACTGGGCTCACAAGGCCTTGGGAAGCTCTGCCCCTCTGGCCCTACAGGGTAAAGCCCCCACAGCTGCTTTCACAGACTGGCGTTGAGTGTCTGCAGCTTTATCAGGTGCATGATGCAAGCTGTTTGTGCATCTACCATTCTGGGTTCTTGAGGATCGTGGCTCTTTCCTCACAGCTCCAATAGGCAGTGCCCCAGTGGGGGCCATTTGTGGGGGCTCCAACTCCACGTTTCCCCTCTGCACTTCTTTAGTAGAGGTTATCCATGAGGGCTCTACCCCTGTACCATACTTCTACCTGAACATCTGGGTGTTTCTTTATATCCTCTGAAATCTTAGGATCTGAAATCCCAAGCCTCAACTGTTTCCCTCTGTGCATTTGCGGGCTTAACACCACATGGAAGTCACCAAGGCTTAAGGCTTGGACCTTCTGGAGGAGTGGCCTGAGATATATCTGGAACTTTTTTATCTGTGGCTAGAGTTGGAGCATCTGGGACACAACAAACAGTGCTCTGAGATTGCACAGGGCAATAGGTACCTGGGCCTGGGCCTGGCCCAGGAAACCATTTTTTCCTCCTAGAACTCCATGCCTGTGATGGGAAGGGTTGCCATGAAGGTCTCTGAAAGGCCTTCCAGGCATTTTCCTCATTGTCTTGGCTATTAATATGCAGCTTCTCTTTACTTAAGCAAATTTCCATGGTTGGCTTGAGTTCCTCCCCTAAAAATGGGTTTTTCTTTTCTCTCACATGATCAGGCTTCAAATTTTCCAAACTTGTATGCTCTGCTTCCTTTTTCAATACAATTTCCAGTTTCAGATCATCTCTTAGCTCACACATATGAACATATGCTACTAGAAGCAGCCAGGTTAAATCTTGAATGCTTTGCTGCTTAGAAATTTCTTCCATCAGATACCCTAAATTATCTCTCTCAAGTTCAGAGTTCCACAGATCGCTAGAGCAGGGGCACAATGCTGCCAGTGTCTGTGATAAAGCATAGCAAGAGTGACTTTTACTTCATTTTCCAATAAGTTCCTCATGTCCCTCAGAGACCACCTCAGCCTGAACTTCACTGTCCATGTTACTATCAGCGTTTTGGTCACAACTATTCAACAAGTCTCTAGAAAGTTCCAAACTCTGCTCATCTTTTGGTCTTCTATCTGAGCCCTCCAAAGTCTTCCAACCTCCTCCCATTACCCAATTCCAAAGCTGCTTTGACATTTTCAGATGTCATTATAGCAATGGTCCTGGTAGCAATTTTCTTTGTTACAGAGCCAAACCATATCAATGTATTTGAAACATTCTATTAAAAAAAAATTTGACAAGAAGATTTTTTGTTGGAAAAATTGCCTCAGTTGATGCTAAAAAAGCTGTGTTGTCAAAGTTCACACATGAGTGCAATGTGGCCTTTAGCAGCAAACTGAAACACATGTTCAAAAACACGAAGCTTTCAAAGTACATCATGGTTAATTTGAAGCAGGACGTGAAAAATAAAAGTGAACCAGTCCCTATAGAACTCACAGTAAATATTCTTAGTATGGAATACTGGTCAGCACCCATGCCCAGGGAAGTACACTTAACTCAAGAAATAATTAAGATTCAGGAAGTATGTTACCAGTAAGATATTTTATCTTGGAAAGCACAGTGGGCAAAAATGTGAATGACAGACTACAGTGGGGCATGCTGTTTCAAAAGCAGGGTTTAAGGAAAGGAAGAAGGTGTTACAGGCATTCTTCTTCAAGATGTTTGTGTGTCTCATGCTCAATGGGGGAGGCAGATTTAGCTTTGAGTAAATAACTATGGCCACTAGGAGAGAAGATAGTGAATTCCAGAACGTAATAGTCTCTGTCTTAGGGAAAAGGACATGTTCTGATTAAAAGTCCTAAAGAAAAGAAGGTAAAAGATGGAGAAAACTCTTCTTTAACAGAGAATATAAGTAGAAGTTGTTTAGAATAAAGATCCATCAGATTTATGTGAAGAAAATCATTGAGGACCACATTATTATCACGGGGAGAGTGTTTCAGAATAGACAATATCAGATTGTCTACATATATATATTATATATATAGAGAGAGAGAGAGAGGTTGAATTACAAAATGAAAGTTCAGTTGTGATGTTAGTATGGCAACTATGACAAAGATACATTTGTATCTGAAGGCATTTTCAGAAAATATTTTCTGAAAACATTTAAAGCACTTTATGTTCTTATAATAGCATGTTTTGTTTTGATTAAAAACTACCAAAAAAACTTCAGTTGTGGTGTAAGTGTTGATCAAAGAAAAAGTTTAAACAACTTCAACAGAATTTAATGAGTGGAAAATAGGGAATGACTTATTTTCCATATATTTACCCTTCCTGTTCGCATTACGTCGTCTTCTGTCCAGAAGTTCAAAATCACTTTTCTTCACCTTCTTAGCCTAACATATGTATTAGCCTCAGTCATGGCCACCTACCACCTACATGAGTTTCATTACTTTGTGAAACTCCTATGCATAATCAAACTTTTTTTTGTTAATTTGTGTGTAGTCAGTTTAATTTCTGGCACTGAAGCAAATGAACCGAAGATAGGTAAAGAAAAAAGATATTTTCCTCCCCTACAATGCAGTTGACAGATTTCTGTAATTCTTTTGTCGGTTTCACTACAAGCATAGTTACTCTGCTGTCTAGTTCAAAGTCGTTAACAATTGACAAAGGGCTAATATCCAGAATCTACAATGAACTCAAACAAATTTACAAGAAAAAAACAAACAACCCCATCAAAAAGTGGGCAAAGGACATGAACAGACACTTCTCAGAAGAAGACATTTATGCAGCCAAAAGACACATGAAAAAATGCTCATCATCACTGGCCATCAGAGAAATGCAAATCAAAACCACAGTGAGATACCATCTCACACCAGTTAGAATGGCAATCATTAAAAAGTCAGGAAACAACAGGTGCTGGAGAGGATGTGGAGAAATAGGAACACTTTTACACTGTTGGTGGGACTGTAAACTAGTTCAACCATTGTGGTAGACAGTGTGGCGATTCCTCAAGGATCTAGAACTAGAAATACCATTTGACCCAGCCATCCCATTACTGGGTATATACCCAAAGGACTATAAATCATGCTGCTATAAAGACACATGCACACGTATGTTTATTGCAGCACTATTCACAATAGCAAAGACTTGGAACCAACCCAAATGTCCAACAATGATAGACTGTATCAAGAAAATGTGGCACATATACACCATGGAATACTATGCAGCCATAAAAAATGATGAGTTCATGTCCTTTGTAGGGACATGGATGAAATTGGAAATCATCATTCTCAGTAAACTATTGCAAGGACAAAAAACCAAACACTGCATATTCTCACTCATAGATGGGAATTGAACAATGAGAACACATGGACACAGGAAGGGGAACATCACACTCTGGGGCCTGTTGTGGGGTGGGGGGAGTTGGGAGGGATAGCATTAGGAGATATACCTAATGCTAAATGATGAGTTAATGGGTGCAGCACACCAGCATGGCACATGTATACACATGTAACTAACCTGCACAATGTGCACATGTACCCTAAAACTTAAAGTAAAATAATAATAATAAAAAACAATTATTGTTTGACATTTGTATTATCTATTTATTGTAGTAGAATTAGTGTGAGCTAATCTTTTTCTAACTTAGCAAAATAGCAATTGATATTCTGAAAACATACTGATTCAACATTAAAGTCAAAATAAGATTTACTTCACACTGTGCTTTCTCTTTCGGTAACCATTCATGAAATCCATTTATTTCTACCACAAGCAATTGCAAACTAGATTTGTTGGTATGAGGTTTTAGATTTTTTTAAACATCAAATCCTACAGGGTGGAAATTAAGAGCAGCATTTATTAATAATAGTATTAAAAATTGACCTTAAATTCTCTGATGAAATTTAGAGAACAAAATTAAAATACTGTTTTAAATAAGTACATAATAGTGGAAATGTCATTGCCAACCAAAATGAGTGATGGAGATGTAAGTATCAAATTATTGAAGTTTATTGAGCCATCTTGTAGGTGCAGCGTCTGTGGTTGTTTTTTCCCAAAAACGTTTTCAGAAAGTTTAGTATTTATACATTTTCTTTAAAAACAGAGGGGGGAAGTTGCAGTGGGGCAAATGATTACATACTTGTGAGAATTTAGTTACTGCATGGTAAATCTATGTTTTATATAAGATAAGGCCTGCATTAGGGAAGTTCAAAGGAATTATTAATCTCATCTTGTCTTTTTCTGTACCTGGGAAGATAAGCTAGTAGGCCTTTGAAAATGCAGGTATCTGTTTAGCCCTTAAAGAAGAAAAAACAGTTTAATTATGCATAGGAGTTTTACAAAGTAATGAGACTCAAGTAGGTAGCCATGACTGAGGCTAATATATATGTTAGGCTAAACAGAAGAAAAGTGATTTTGGACTTCTGGACAGAAGGGGAAGTAATGGGAAGAGGAGGGGTAAATATATGGTAAATAAGTCATTCCCTATTTTTCACTTGTTAAATTCTGTTGACATTAATTTGTTGAATGTTTTTCTTTCATCAAAACTTACACCACAACTTTCAAGGTTTCTCTGAGGTTCCCTTGGCCAAGAGGGGGTCCATTCAGAAAATTAGGGGCTTAGAATTTTACTTTTATTTTTCATAAAAAATATGTTTTACTTTCTTATAGATGGCAAGATAATACTTCCTATCTTTCTACATGTCTAAATAGAAAACATTCAAGGAAACAGCTTTTTTCTTCAATTGTAGTTACATTCAAGTGATATAATATTCAAATAAATACATAGACATCATTATCAACTAAAAGTTAAAGTTGAGAATTTTTAATTATATTACTGAATTTTTATGTCTAGTGTTTAAAAATTATTGCTTGAATTAATTACCATAAAGGTTTTCTTTATTTTGTTCTTTTAATTTCATTCACACAAAAATATTTTTCTGTGTGTTTCCATATGTCTCCCCAAGCCACAAAATTTTCACTGTAGAGTTCATAGCTTTTTAAACATAACAAGTCTATGATCATGACAGGATTTTGATAAAACATTTGGTGACATGAGCATGGTTATAGTTTAGTGAAATGTAAAGACGTGAATAATCAAGTTGTTACCTACCTTAAAATTATTACGCTATACATTTATAAGCCATTGGGAAAGTGTGACTGTGAGTCTAATGTGATTGTCATCAAATTGGGAAAACTTTGGAGAAAATATAACTTCTCATCTTAGACTTTGAGCATAGTTTGGAAACCACTAAAGATATTCTTTAGTGCCAGAAGTGCCTACTTATCTAAATAATCTACACCACTGGACGTAATCTAATAATTTGATATTCTAAAGCATATTTACGAGGCAGGAGTACCAGATTCACAAATTCTTAAGATGGGTTGTGAGACATTGAGGAATAAAGGAGAACAGTTCAAAAAGTAATGGGAAATAGGTCAAACCAATGAAAGACATAATTAGCTACCACCAAATGTAACTTTCAAGTGTCCTGTTAATTAAGATAAATTTTGAAGAAGATAGTGTTTTTTCTCATATCTTTTTCAATTGCAGTTCTTCAAATTTTAAATAACTTCCGTATTTGTCAATGAATTTTTATATATTTAGGTAAAATTATATTAATAAAATGATATAAAAAAGTATTTTTGGAATTAATTGAAATAAAATTATCAATATATTTTATTTATATTTAACCTGATATCCTGTGAAGAACAACAGATGTAAATGAAAATAGAGTATTATTATACAAAATGTATATTATTTTTGTATTATTTAATAGTTATATACATAAAATAAGCAATATTTATTAACATTCATATACTATTAATATAATTAATATGATATATTAACAGTCATTTAAAAAATTCTATGCTATATTTTAAGGGTATTGATAGTTGAACAGAAATTATGATTGTTATGTTATACTAATAAAATGTTAATTGTAAATAATATTTTTAACCACATCAAGCAACTTAAAATTTGTGATATAGTAAATTTACAGAGAAATCAGGCAGTTAGCATGGCTTAAAACAATATAAAAATCAGTGAATCCTGTGTCCTATAAATACAGATTGCTAAATTGGTCATATACTAAATCACAATTTCTTTAGCAATGAATTATCTAGAATAATTTGTCTGGGTGATTTCCTCAACATATCATCATTAGCATTAATTAAGTCTGGTCAATATTCTTAAAAATATAGCAGTTTACCTATAGACTTAGAGAAATAATTTTGTTTAATATGGTAATAATACTAACAATAATTACAACAGAACTAATTAAATCGATCTGCCTAGGTGATAAAATTTTGGAATAACTTGTAAAGTATACTTTTTTAGTAGAACAAGAATTTTTTTTTCTTCTAGAAATGATAACATCCTATAGGTATGTATTTTCTTCAGGAAAATATTTTACATTTATATTACCTCTAATTAAACAGACCTAGATAAATAGTTAAGTAAAACTGTGAGGAAGCAATATCATTTTTCACCTAATTTAGTTCACCAAATTTATGTATATATTTATTCTACATGGAATCACTAAAGCTTATTAATATAAAATGTTTGCTTCACTTTTAGTGTCATTCCTATACTAAAAGTTGTATAATTTGTATAAATCTTCTGTCTAATAAAAGTATTATTACAGAGTAACATACACAGCTCCTATTTTGCATAATTAAATTGTAAATGACAACCATATGAACCTCCATATGTTCTATCAGTTTCTTTACTTTTTTGTACTCTCCTGTGCATCAAATGACCATGTTAATAACCATTACCACAGATTCCCATTAACGAAACTAAATGTACACATATTTAGCTAAAGTGTCCATATTAGAGTCATTATGAGACAGTAACCTTTACTGATTCACAAGTTCAAACACAAACACAAGTGCTGGAAATAAGTTTAATTCTTTATCATCTTGAATTACCCTGTATTATTGTTTGAATGTGTCCCCCAAATTTCATGTGTTAAAACCTTAATTGTCAAATTCATATGTTGACTGAAAGTAGAGATTTTGGAAGGTAATTAAGATTAGATAAGGCCATCAGGGTGAGACCCCCATAATGGGAGTTATGACTTTATAAAAAGAGGAAAAGAGACCTGATGTGCACACATGCTCTTGGCCTCTCTTCATGTGATGCCCTCTGCCATGTTATGATGCAGTTGGAAGTCCCTCACCAGATGAAGCCCCTCAACCTTGGACTTCCCAGTATCCAGAACCACAAGAAATAAATTTCTTTTCTTTCTAAATTACCCAGATTATTGTATTCAGCAATAGCAACAAGTAATGAAATTAGACACCATTTTAATTCAGGGAATTTTACAATAACTTTGGAAAAGCTGCCACCTAGAAGGTTCTCTCTTGTCTAGAATCCCAAAGACAGATATATTTTATGCAAACCGTATACATTTCTTTCTTTCATGCAAACCATATACATTTTAAAGACAGCGTTCCAATCTTTGAAAAAGGTGAATTGTATCCTGACTGGGCCCTTGCCACAAATAGAGAGAGAAGAGAGAGAGACAGAGAGGCAGAGAGATGGAAGGAAAGAAGAAAAGAAAGAAGGAAGGAAAAAAGGAAATAGTATTTTTCCATCTCTGTATATTTATTTGATGTCACAATTTAAAAGTGGTGTGACCAGAGGTTGAGAGTTCTCAGGCATAGAAAAAACAAACTGTTTATTATATTCATGATATAGTTCATTAAAAAAAATCACTATTTTGAAGAGTGAGTGGATGGCCTGCTGCTGCTATGTTACTGAATATGTATTGTTTTTACTTCAACAACTATTCATAGAAGTTCTAGATATGGGAACAAGTGTTGTAGTGATAATAGCAGAGTTTTCACACTTTGCTTAATCTATTTTTATGCATAATTTAATAGGACTTTCTTTCAATAACTGCAAAAACTTAAACACTTAAAATTGTCTGCTAATAATTTTGCTTAGTTGCTTAAAGTGTTTAAAAGTTATCTGAAACTACGGTGACTTTATATTGCTGGAATGTATTTTAGTATTCGGTAGGAAAATTTTGTCCTTATATAACACTAGTGTTGTTAAAACATAGAAAGGGAGAAAACTCAAATGAATCTTTGAGGTTTAATGAGAGATTCAGCAGCATGAGGAACTAATATGTACTGTGTTTAGTAAATTTAGATAATTGATAATGGTGACATGAGTCACTTCAGTGGAATTCTGAAAATCAGAATTGTAAGATGTAGAATATATGGAGATCAGGTAAATGGATGCAAAACATAGGCAATTCTTTTACATAAAGGTATGTTGTGCATCTTATTAAGTATACTTAATATTTTATAATATTAGTAATTTTGTATTGCAAATTATTCTTAGAGATTATTTCTTCTTTAGGGTCAGAGTTTATACTGCAGTACATTAGCTCTTTTGACTGACATTCTCATTTTTTAATTAAATACTTTAAGACCTAATATATACAAGACAAAATACATTCCTAAATTGTACAGTTTGATGGAATTTGTAAATTTATATACATGTGTTAACACTACCTTAATAATCACTAAAATATTGTCATAATATTATAGTGACTAACATTTAATCAAAGTAGATGAGATATGTCTTTCTTAGAATTAGATAGATAGTTAACAGAAAGAAAGAATGTAATCATAGGCAATAGGTAGATATGAATAGAGATTCAGTATTTATGCATTTTATCATTTTTTTTCTAAGGATAATGTTCTTTTGAGGAACTCCATACAGGTGGTTTACCAGTAGTTTGTTCTTTAAATTGCTGAATAAATATCTCAAATATATCTACATATTTGGGTAGCTTCTACGTTTTTGCTTTTGTGAATAAAATAATCTTTTCTGTTTTGCCATTCCATTTTCAAATGTGTGTTTTATAAATACTCCCTCTCAGTATCTGGTTTGTTTTTCATTTTTCTTAATGGTATCTTTCATACAGAACACTTTTTAAAAATTTTTTATGAGCTCGATTTTATCTTTCTCGGCAACTTTATGCTTCATGTTTGTTTGTGGCTGGTGTTTGCATATTGCAATGTCACAAATATATTTTTTCTTTGAACTTTTGTAGTTTGTACATTTATACCACAATATTTGACTTATTTTGTACTAATTTTGGTATATTGTTTGATGTAAAAGTTGAGATTCTTTTTTTCAAAATATTTATCAGATTTTTCTGTATAATTTGTTAAGAATAGCACTTCTTATTCAGTTACCTTGATGTTTTATTTCTTTAAATTTAATTGGCTGTATTCATGGATCAATTTCTGAATTCTGTTGATTTAAATGTCTGTGCTTATGCAAATATATCATTATCTTGGTTAAAGAATCATTATTATGTTTTGAATTCAGGTAATAAAAGCTCATCCAACTTAGTAACTCTCTTCAAAATTGCTTTAGCTATTTAAATCCTTTGCATTTTTATACAAATTTAAAAGTTAACTTGTTAATTTCTATTTTTAAACAGCTAGCTTAGATTTGGCTTAGGACTGCATTGAACCTATAAGTCAATTTGGAGGGAACTGATATCTTAATATGGAATTTTTGTATTCAAGAAGATTGAATACATCAAACTGATTTCAAGTTCAATTTCTATCTGTAATGTTTTGTTTTCCAGTGTATGGGTATATTAGTTTGCTAGGGCTGCAATAAGAAAATACCAAGCACTGAGGGACTTAAAGAAGAAGAACTTAGTTTTCCACATTTTTGGAGGTCTTGAAGTGTAAGGTTAAGGCACTGCCACATTTGGTTTCCTCTAAGGCATCTCTTGCTGTGGCTTGAAAATGATCATCCTCTTGCTGTATATTCACAAAGTCATCCTTTAATGAAATGGCTTCCTTTTCACCTAATATCTCTTTAAAGGCCCTACCTCCCAATATGGTAACATTCTAATGCAGTGGAGATTTAGGGGCTTCAGCCTATAAATTTTGGGGAATAGAATTCAGCTCATAACAATACATCTCACAAGAATGTTAACTCTTTTGACTATATATTGCATATTTCAAACTTTAAATTAATGTGCAAGCTTAAATGTTTTAAAATAATCTCAGTAATCATTGAAACGATAATAACTATAATAATGAAATCAAATTTTTCTGTGCCCTTTAAAAGTGTTGCCAAGATATAAAAGTATTTTTACTTTTTTACATTTTGCATATTTTACATTTTACATACACACACGTGTGTGTGTGTGTACAGTCAGCTCTTTATACCCATGTGTACTGCATTTGAGAATTCAACAAACCTCAGATCAAAAATTTTTAAAAATTAAATAAAAACCAATGAAATAATAAAAAATAATAAAAATAATACAAATAAAAATGTATAACTACTACTTACACAGCACTTACATAGTATTAGGTATTGTAAATTATCTGGAGATAATTCAAAATCTACAGAAGAATGTTCATAGGTTACATGCAAATGCTATACAATTTTTTGAGACAGAGTTTTGCTCTATTGCCTAGGCTAGAGAGCAGTTGCAAAATATACCATTTTATATAAGGGACTTGAGCGTTCCCAGATTTGGGTATCTATAGGAGGTGGGTGAGGTATGGTGGGGGATTGGATTGTCCTGAAACAAATCTCCTATTGATAACAAGAGATGACTGCCTATATCAGTAACTAATTCTATTGTACGTTATGAAAGTCTACAGAAATTGTTTAACAAACAATATTTATTTAGTACAATGTAATTTTTTTACTGTGTATGTGAGTCTACTCAGGTAGGATGTTGGATGGGGTGGTCAAAAAATAGGAAATTTTTTTTCTTTATTATTATTGCTATTATTTCCAACTTTTATTTTAAATTCAGGGGTACATGTGCAGGTTTGTTATATAGGTAACTGTGTGCCATGATGGTTTGCTGTACACATCTTCCAATCATCAGGTATTAAGCCTAGAATCCATTAGCTATTCTTTCTGATGCTCTCCCTCCTCCTACCTCCTACTCTGTCTCCAACAGACCTCAGTGTGTTCTGTTCCACCGCCCCCGCGACCACCGCATATGTCCATGTGTTCTCATCATTCATTTCCCACACATAACTACCTGCATTCGTTTGCTAAGAATAATGGCCTCCAGCTCCATCCATGTCCCTAAAAATGATATGATCTCATTTTTTATAGCTGCATACTATTCCATGTTGTATATGTAACAATATTTTCTTTATCCGGTCTATCTCTGATGGACATTTAGGTTGATTCCATGTCTTTGCCATTGTGCATAGTGCTGCAATGAGCATATGAGAGCATGTTTCTTTGTAATAGAACAATTTATATTCCTTTGGGCTTACACCCAGTAATGGGATACCAGAGGTATGAAGAAGAGCTGGTACCATTCATACTAAAAGTATTCCAAAAAAAAATTGAAAAAGAGGGACTCCTCCATGACTTATTCTATGAGGCCAGCAGCATCCTGATACCAAACCTGGCAGAGATACAACAAAAAAGGGAAAACTTCAGGCCAATATGCTTGATGAACATCAATGCAAAATTCCTCAACAAAATACTTGCAAAGTGAATTCATCAGCACATCAAAAAGCTAATCCACCATAATACAGTACACTTCATCCTTGGGATGCAAGACTGGTTCAACATATGCAAATCAATAAATGTGATTCATCACATAAACAGAACTAAAGATAAAAACCACATGATTATTTCAACGGATGCAGGAAAGGCCTTCAATAAAATTTAACATCCTTTCATGTTAAAAACTCTCAAAAAATTGTATTTTGAAGGAAAATACCTCAAAATAATAAGAGCCATCTATGACAAACCCACAGCCAGTGTCATACTGAATGGCCAAAAACTGAAAGCATTCCCCTTGAAAGTCAGTGCAAGACAAGGATGTGCTCTCTCATCACTCTTATTCAACATAGTATTGAAAGTTCTGGCCAGGGCAATCAGGCAAGAGAAAGAAATAAAGTGTACTCAAATAAGAAGTGAAGAAGTCAAACTATTTTTGTTTGCAAATGGACATGATTCTATATCTAGAAAACCCCATCATCTCAGCCCAGAAGCTTCTTAAGCTGATAAACAACTTGAGCAAAGTTTCAGGATACAAAATCAATCTGCAAAAATCACAAGCATTCCTATGTACTAACAACAGGCAAGCTGAGAGGCAAATCACGAATGAATTCACATTCACAATTGCCACAAAAAGAATAAAATACCTAGGAATACAGCTAACAAGGTAAGTGAAGAACCTCTTCAAGGAGAACTGCAAACCATTGCTCAAAGGAACCAGAGATGACACAAACAAATGGAAAAACATTCCATGCTCATGGGTAGGAAGAATCAATATTGTGAAAATGGCCTTAATGCCCAAAGCAATGTATAGATTTAATGTTATTTTCAGTAAACTACCATTGATATTATTCACAGAATTAGAAAATCTATTTTAAAATTTATATGAAACCAAAAAGAGCCCCAGTAGCCAAGGCAATCCTAAGGAAAAACAAAACAAAAAAAAGCTGGAGGAATCACACTACCCAACTTCAAACTACATTACAAGACTACAGTAACAAAAACATCATGGTACTGGTACAAAACCAGACACATAGACCAATGGAACAGAATAGAGAACCCAGAAACAAGACTGCACACCTACAATCACCAGATTTTTCAAAAACCTGACAAAAACAAGCAATGGGGAAAGGAGTCCCTGTTTAATAAATGGTTCTGGGAGAACTTGCTAGCCATATGAAGAAAATTGAAACTGGATTCCTTCCATACACCATATACAAAAATCAACTCAAAAGGGATTAAAGACCCAAAACAGTAAAAACCCTAGAAGAAAACCTAAGCAATACCATTCAAGGCATAGGCGAGGGTGAAGGTTTTATGACAAAGATGCCAAAAGCAATTGCATCAAAAGCAAATATTGACAAATGAGGTCTAATTAAACTAAACAGCTTGTGTATGGCAAAAGAAACTATCAACAAAGTAAACAACTTACAGAATGGAAGAAAATCTTTGTAATCTATCCATCTGCCAAACGTCTGATACCTAGCATATATAAGAAACTTAAACAAATTTACAAGAAAAAATAAACAATGCTATTAAAAAGTGGGCAAAGACATGATCAGATACTTCCCAAAAGAAGACATACATACAGCCAACAATCATATGAAAAAAATGCTCAATATCACACATAAAAAGAGATCATTTTATTCATCATAAACTCTTTGCTCTTGCCTAATCATTAGAGAAATGCAAATCAAACCCACAATGAGATACCATCTCACACCAGTCAGAATGGCTACTATTAAAAAGTCAATAAACAACAAATGCTGGTGAGGTTGTGAAGAAAAATAAATGTTTTTACACCGTTGGAGTGAGTGTAAATTAGTTCAACCATTGTGGAAGACAGTGAGGCTTTCCTCAAAGACCTAGAGGTAGTACAATGTAATTTAAAGTATTAAAAACATTGACCATTAAAGCACTTTATTTTCTTGTGAAAAATGTATCAAAAATAGTTTAAATACTATATTTTCCTTACCCAATTTTGTGAAATATCAAGTGGATTTATTACCAGGTGACAGAAGGCAGATTACATCATAAGTATAAATTATGCTGTCTGTGAATGAACTAAGTAACAGATGCACAATGATCAATCACCAACAGACTTTGAAATAAGTAATGTTTCAGATTCTTGGTCATTGGTAATGATGTGCATCTTTTATTTACATAGTGATTTGTAAGCTGACATTATATACACATTTATATATAATGTATATATAAATATATATTTGACAGTATATATACATATAAATCTGTAAGCTGATATATATAAGCTGATAAATATATATACATATATATTTGTATATATATGTATATATATACACAGGCATACATATGACAGTGTGTATGTGTGTATATATATATATGTAAACAAACACACACATCACACACGCATATATATATATAATGGTAGTAGATAGTTGAGGCTAGATTTGTTTAACTAAACTGTGGTAACTGAAGAAGTTTTTGCATATCAGAAATGTACAAAGTGAAGGTTGTCTGCACTTTAATGTCAATTTCCAATTTCTTATTGCTATTTTATAGGAATTGAATTGATTTTCTGTAAACTATCTTACTTCATTTAGGTTTTACCTCATCTCCTTGTTAAATACCCACAGTATCTACATGTATAATTGTATCACCTTCTACAGACATAAGTTACTTTATCTTATTTATTCTTTATGCATAGTGCACTTGTAGGACTTCTAGTGCAATATTGAATAAAAGTGATAACATCAGACAAGCTTGCTTATTTTTTTATCTAAATAAAGAAAAGGTTTCAATCATTCACAATTAAGCATAATGATTGATGGAGGTTTTCGTAGCTGCATAATTACAGACTAAGGAAATTTGCTTCTATTTCTAGCTTACAGATAATTTTTTCATAATGATTTATTAAATATTGTCAAATGTCAAAATGTTCATACTTTGTTTCTCCCTTTTTTAATATGACAAACAATACCAGTTGATTTTCAAATGTTAAACCAATCTTGCGTTCTTGGAACGCATGTTCTATATGCATTCTATATGGTATAGAACACATGTTATATACCACTCATTACGGTGTTTTGGGGGTGAATTTGTGTATATTCAGAGGAATATTAGTATATATATTAGTATCAGCTCTTGAACAATGGAGGGCTTAAGAACACCAACTACCAGCACAGCTGAAAATTTGTATATAACTTTTGACTCCCCCAAAACTTAACCACAAATAGTCTAGTGTTGACTGGAAGAATTACCAATAACTTAAACTGTCAACAAATATTTTATATGTTACATGTATTATATAATGTATTCTTACAATAAAGTAAGCTAGACAAAATGACATGTTATTTTAAAAATCACAAGGAAGAGAAAATATGTTCACTATTCACTGAATGAAAGTGGGTCACCATAAAGATCTTTATCATTTTCACATTGAGTAGGCTGAGGAGGAAGAACAGCAATGATTAGTCTTGCTGTCTCAGGCGTGCTAGAGATGGAAGAAAATCTGCATATAAGCAGATCCTTGCAGTTTAAATCTGCATTTGCATATAAAATACAAAAGAGAATGTAAACATTTTAAGCAATAAAATAAAAACCTTTAAAATATATTTGGTTGAAATTTCAGAAATAGACAAGAGAATGATTGAGGTAGAGAAATATTTAAAAATATATTGACTGAAAATTTTCTCATCTGATGATAAAGCCAGCCACAGAAAAAGGAAGCTCCATGAACCACAAATAGCATACATAAAATTACATTGAGTTACATCATAGTAAAACTCTGAACATCAAAGGCGAAAATAACCTCAAAGAAGCCAAGAGAAAAAAGATTAGATTACATTCAAAGGGACAACAAGAAAAGAAAGAGATTATTTCTCAGTGAGAACAATGCAAGCCAAAGACCTGAAATATGTAATTTTGTGGACCTTAACGATATCTTCAGAGAATTAAACAAATAGTGATAGAGTTTTTATTAGGATAACTGCACCAGAACTGCAAAATATCAAAATATTCTTCAGACATTTGGAATTCTATTTATTCAGACATTTGGAAAGAATATTATTTGCTTTCCCACTAGTATTTTAGATCATTTGTCCACTTTAGGTATTAGGCTAAAACTCAGAAGGAAGTTCATTTCTGGATAAAGGAATTAAAACAAATGAGAAGATTAAGTGAATGAGTAAATCTGAATAAATCCTGACATATAAAACAATGATATTTTAGAGATGTAAAATATATATAGATCTTAAATAGCCAGTAACAATAGCACACTAGTCAGATAAGGTAAGGTTGGTGCTAAAATGTTAGAATGGCATCACATTTTTATCAGTAAATCCAGAATACCACTTTACTGCCTGGTGTGGTAACTCATGCCTGTAATCCCAACACTTTGGTAGTCTGATGCAGGGCAATTACTTGAGGCCAGGAGTTCAA
This sequence comes from Homo sapiens, assembly GCF_000001405.40. Classification (NCBI taxonomy): domain Eukaryota; kingdom Metazoa; phylum Chordata; class Mammalia; order Primates; family Hominidae; genus Homo; species Homo sapiens. Next base: position 116,412,737 of record NC_000004.12, on the reverse strand, counting down.
GACCAGCCTAGGCAATATAGTGAGCCTCCGTCTTCAAAAAAAAAAAAAAAAAGAATAAATAAATAAATAGCTGATTGTACCACTACACTTCAGCCCAGGGGATAGACACTTGGTCTCAAAAAAAAAAAGGTGACATTATGGGAATGACAGAGACTGGTCACCAGCCCTCAGCCCCTCCTATACAAAAAAATAATAATATAGAAAGGAAAAGAAAGGCTACCAGCTTACTAGTTCTAATTACTAAGGTAAACTTTAAGAACTTTAAAAATGATATAGGTTTATAACCAACTATTGCATGAAAGCGGACTCATGCAGTTCAAACTCACATTGTTCAGTGTTGACTGTAGTTTACTTTTTATATAATTGGTTTGTCCACTTTAGGTATTAGGCTAAAGCTTCCCTTATGGAATGATGGTATTTTCTTCTCCTCTATTTTCTGTAAAAGTTTATGTGAGATAGATATTATTCACTGTTTAAAATTGAATACTATTCGCCAAGGAAGTAATCTGGACCTAGTTTTTTGTTTTGCTTTTTCTTAGGATTTTTATGGGACAATTTTTTTTTGTTTGTTTTATTTTTCAAGATTGATGACAATTCTTTTTCTTTTTTATATTTCCTTTTTTATTATTATTACACTTTAAGTTCTGGGATACATGTGCAGGACGTGCAGGTTTCTTACATAGGTATACATGTGCCGTGGTGGTTTGCTGCACTCACCAACCCATCACCTACATTAGGTATTTCTCTTAATGCTATCCCTCCCTTAGCACCCCCAACCCCCAGCAGGCCCCAGCATGTGATGTTCCCCTCCCTGTGTCCATGTGCTCTCATTGTTCAACTCCCACTTAACAAGTGAGAACATGCGGTGTTTGGTTTCCTGTTCCTGTGTTAGTTTGCTGAGAATGATGGTGTCCAGCTTCATCCATGTCTCTGCAAAGGACATGAACTCATCCTTTTTTATGGCTGCATAGTATTCCATGGCGTATATGTGCCACATTTTCTTTTTTTTTTCTTTTATTATTATACTTTAAGTTTTAGGGTATATGTGCACATTGTGCAGGTTAGTTACATATGTAAACACGTGCCACGCTGGTGCGCTGCACCCACTAACTTGTCATCTAGCATCAGGTATATCTCCCAATGCTATCCCTCCCCCCTCCCCCCACCCCACAACAGTCCCCAGAGTGTGATGTTCCCCTTCCTGTGTCCATGTGATCTCATTGTTCAATTCCCACCTATGAATGAGAATATGTGGTGTTTGGTTTTTTGTTCTTGTGATAGTTTACTGAGAATGATGATTTCCAATTTCATCCATGTCCCTACAAAGGACATGAACTCACCATTTTTTATGGCTGCATAGTATTCCATGGTGTATATGTGCCACATTTTCTTAATACAGTCTATCATTGTTGGACATTTGGCTTGGTTCCAAGTCTTTGCTATTGTGAATAATGCCGCAATAAACATACGTGTGCATGTGTCTTTATAGCAGCATGATTTATAATCCTTTGGGTACATACCCAGTAATGGGATGGCTGGGTCAAATGGTATTTCTAGTTCTAGATCCCTGAGGAATTGCCACACTGACTTCCACAATGGTTGAACTAGTTTACAGTCCCACCAACAGTGTAAAAGTGTTCCTATTTCTCCACATCCTCTCCAGCACCTGTTGTTTCCTGACTTTTTAATGATTGCCATTCTAACTGGTGTGAGATGGTATCTCATTGTGGTTTTGATTTGCATTTCTCTGATGGCCAGTGATGATGAGCATTTTTTCATGTGTTTTTTGGCTGCATAAATGTCTTCTTTTGAGAAGTGTCTGTTCATGTCCTTTGCCCACTTTTTGATGGGGTTGTTTGTTTTTTTTCTTGCAAATTTGTTTGAGTTCATTGTAGATTCTGGATATTAGCCCATTGTCAGATGAGTAGGTTGCAAAAATTTTCTCCCATTTTGTAGGTTGCCTGTTCACTCTGATGGTAGTTTCTTTTGCTGTACAGAAGCTCTTTAGTTTAATTAGATCCCATTTGTCAATTTTGTCTTTTGTTGCCATTGCTTTTGGTGTTTTAGATATGAAGTCCTTGCCCATGCCTATGTCCTGAATGGTATTGCCTAGGTTGTCTTCTAGGGCTTTTATGGTTCTAGGTCTAACGTTTAAGTCTTTAATCCATCTTGAATTGATTTTTGTATAAGGTGTAAGGAAGGGATCCAGTTTCAGCTTTCTACATATGGCTGGCCAGTTTTCCCAGCACCATTTATTAAATAGGGAATCCTTTCCCCATTGCTTGTTTTTCTCAGGTTTGTCAAAGATCAGATAGTTGTAGATATGTGGCGTTATTTCTGAGGTCTCTGTTCTGTTCCATTGATCTATATCTCTGTTTTGGTACCAGTACCATGCTGTTTTGCTTACTGTAGCCTTGTAGTATAGTTTGAAGTCAGGTAGTGTGATGCCTCCAGCTTTGTTCTTTTGGCTTAGGATTGACTTGGCGATGCAGGCTCTTTTTTGGTTCCATATGAACTTTAAAGTAGTTTTTTCCAATTCTGTGAAGAAAGGCATTGGTAGCTTGATGGGGATGGCATTGAATCTGTAAATTACCTTGGGCAGTATGGCCATTTTCACGATATTGATTCTTCCTACCCAAGAGCATGGAATGTTCTTCCATTTCTTTGTATCCTCTTTTATTTCATTGAGCAGTGTTTTGTAGTTCTCCTTGCAGAGGTCCTTCACATCCCTTGTAAGTTGGATTCCTAGGTATTTTATTCTCTTTGAAGCAATTGTGAATGGGAGTTCACTCATGATTTGGCTCTCTGTTTGTCTGTTATTGGTGTATAAGAATGCTTGTGATTTTTGTACATTGATTTTGTATCCTGAGACTTTGCTGAAGTTGCTTATCAGCTTAAGGAGATTTTGGACTGAGACAATGGGGTTTTCTAGATATACAATCATGTCGTCTGCAAAGAGGGACAATTTGACTTCCTCTTTTTCTAATTGAATACCCTTTATTTCCTTCTCCTGCCTAATTGCCCTGGCCAGAACTTCCAACACTATGTTGAATAGGAGCGGTGAGAGAGGGCATCCCTGTCTTGTGCCAGTTTTCAAAGGGAATGCTTCCAGTTTTTGCCCATTCAGTATGACATTGGCTGTGGGTCTGTCATAGATAGCTCTTATTATTTTGAAATACGTCCCATCAATACCTAATTTATTGAGAGTTTTTAGCATGAAAGGTTGCTGAATTTTGTCAAAGGCCTTTTCTGCATCTATTGAGATAATCATGTGGTTTTTGACTTTGGCTCTGTTTATATGCTGGATTACATTTATTGATTTGCATATATTGAACCAGCCTTGCATCCCAGGGATGAAGCCCACTTGATCATGGTGGATAAGCTTTTTGATGTGCTGCTGGATTTGTTTTGCCAGTATTTTACTGAGGATTTTTGCATCAGTGTTCATCAACGATATTGGTCTAAATTCTCTTTTTTGGTTGTGTCTCTGCCAGGCTTTGGTATCAGAATGATGCTGGCCTCATAAAATGAGTTAGGGAGGATTCCCTCTTTTTCTATTGATTGGAATGGTTTCAGAAGGAATGGTACCAGTTCCTCCTTGTACCTCTGTTAGAATTCGGCTGTGAATCCATCTGGTCCTGGACTCTTTTTGGTTGGTAAGCTATTGATTATTGCCACAATTTCAGATCCTGTTTTTGGTCTATTCAGGGATTCCACTTCTTCCTGGTTTAGTCTTGGGAGAGTGTATGTGTCAAGGAATTTATCCATTTCTTCTAGATTTTCTAGTTTATTTGCGTACACGTGTTTGTAGTATTCTCTGATGGTAGTTTGTATTTCTGTGGGATCGGTGGTGATATCCCCATTATCATTTTCTATTGCATCTATTTGATTCTTCTCTCTTTTTTTCTTTATTAGTCTTGCTAGTGGTCTATTTTATTGATCCTTTCAAAAAACCAGCTCCTGGATTCATTAATTTTTTGAAGGGTTTTTTGTGTCTCTATTTCCTTCAGTTCTGTCTGATTTTAGTTATTTCTTGCCTTCTGCTAGCTTTTGAATGTGTTTGCTCTTGCTTTTCTAGTTCTTTTTATTGTGAAGTTAGGGTGTCAATTTTGGATCTTTCCTGCTTTTTCTTGTGGGCATTTAGTGCTATAAATTTCCCTCTACACACTGCTTTGAATGCGTCCCAGAGATTCTGGTATGTTGTGTCTTTGTTCTCGTTGCTTTCAAAGAACATCTTTATTTCTGCCTTCATTTCGTTATGTACCCAGTAGTCATTCAGGAGCAGGTTGTTCAGTTTCCATGTAGTTGAGCGGTTTTGAGTGAGATTCTTAATCCTGAGTTCTAGTTTGATTGCACTGTGGTCTGAGAGATAATGTGTTATAATTTCTGTTCTTTTACATTTGCTGAGGAGAGCTTTACTTCCAAGTATGTGGTCAATTTTGGAATAGGTGTGGTGTGGTGCTGAAAAAAATGTATATTCTGTTGATTTGGGGTGAAGAGTTCTGTAGATGTCTATTAGGTCCGCTTGGTGCAGAGCTGAGTTCAATTCCTGGGTATCCTTGTTAACTTTCTGTCTCGTTGATCTGTCTAATGTTGACAGTGGGGTGTTAAAGTCTCCCATTATTAATGTGTGGGAGTCTAAGTCTCTTTGTAGGTCACTCAGGACTTGCTTTATGAATCTGGGTGCTCCTGTATTGGGTGCATATATATTTAGGATAGTTAGCTCTTCTTGTTGAATTGATCCCTTTACCATTATGTAATGGCCTTCTTTGTCTCTTTTGATCTTTGTTGGTTTAAAGTCTGTTTTATCAGAGACTAGGATTGCAACCCCTGCCTTTTTTTGTTTTCCATTTGCTTGGTAGATCTTCCTCCATCCTTTTATTTTGAGCCTATGTGTGTCTCTGCACATGAGATGGGTTTCCTGAATACAGCACACTGATGGGTCTTGACTCTTTATCCAATTTGCCAGTCTGTGTCTTTCAATTGGAGCATTTAGTCCATTTACATTTAAAGCTAATATTGTTATGTGTGAATTTGATCCTGTCATTATGATGTTAGCTGGTTATTTTGCTCGTTAGTTGATGCAGTTTCTTCCTAGTCTCGATGGTCTTTACATTTTGGCATGATTTTGCAGCAGCTGGGACTGGTTGTTCCTTTCCATGTTTAGCGCTTCCTTCAGGAGCTCTTTTAGGGCAGGCCTGGTGGTGAGAAAATCTCTCAGCATTTGCTTGTCTGTAAAGTATTTTATTTCTCCTTCATTTATGAAGCTTAGTTTGGCTGGATATGAAATTGTGGGTTGAAAATTCTTTTCTTTAAGAATGTTGAATATGGGACCCCACTCTCTTCTGGCTTGTAGGGTTTCTGCCAAGAGATCTGCTGTTAGTCTGATGGGCTTCCCTTTGAGGGTAACCCGACCTTTCTCTCTGGCTGCCCTTAACATTTTTTCCTTCATTTCAACTTTGGTGAATGTGACAATTATGTGTCTTGGAGTTGCTCTTCTCGAGGAGTATCTTTGTGGCGTTCTCTGTATTTCCTGAATCTGAATGTTGGCCTGCCTTGCTAGATTGGGTAAGTTCTCCTGGATAATATCCTGCAGAGTGTTTTCCAACTTGGTTCCATTCTCCCCGTCACTTTCAGGTACACCAATCAGACGTAGATTTGGTCTTTTCACATAGTCCCATATTTCTTGGAGGCTTTGCTCCTTTCTTTTTATTCTTTTTTCTCTAAACTTCCCTTCTCGCTTCATTTCATTCATTTCATCTTCCATTGCTGATATCCTTTCTTCCATTTGATCACATCAGCTCCTGAGGCTTCTGCATTCTTCACGTAGTTCTCGAGCCTTGGTTTTCAGCTCCATCAGCTCCTTTAAGCACTTCTCTGTATTGGTTATTCTAGTTATACATTCTTCTAAATTTTTTTCAAAGTTTTCAACTTCTTTGCCTTTGGTTTGAATGTCCTCCCGTGGCTCAGAGTAATTTGATCGTCTGAAGGCTTCTTCTCTCAGCTCGTCAAAGTCGTTCTCTGTCCAGCTTTGTTCCGTTGCTGGTGAGGAACTGCGTTCCTTTGGAGGAGGAGAGGTGCTCTGCTTTTTAGAGTTTCCAGTTTTTCTGCTCTGTTTTTTCCCCATCTTTGTGGTTTTATCTACTTTTGGTCTTTGATGATGGTGATGTACAGATGGGTTTTTGGTGTGGATGTCCTTTCTGTTTGCTAGTTTTCCTTCTAACAGACAGGACCCTCAGCTGCAGGTCTGTTGGAGTACCCTGCAGTGTGAGGTGTCAGTGTGCCCCTGCTGGGGGGTGCCTCCCAGTTAGGCTGCTCGGAGGTCAGGGGTCAGAGGTCAGGGACCCACTTGAGGAGGCAGTCTGCCCATTCTCAGATCTCCAGCTGCGTACTGGGAGAACCACTGCTCTCTTCAAAGCTGTCAGACAGGGACATTTAAGTCTGCAGAGGTTACTGCTGTCTTTTTGTTTGTCTGTGCCCTGCCCCCAGAGATGGAGCCTACAGAGGCAGGCAGGCCTCCTTGAGCTGTGGTGGGCTCCACCCAGTTCGAGCTTCCCGGCTGCTTTGTTTACCTAAGCAAGCCTGGGCAATGGTGGGCGCCCCTCCCCCAGCCTCGCTGCTGCCTTGCAGTTTGATCTCAGACTGCTGTGCTAGCAATCAGCGAGACTCCCTGGGCGTAGGACCCTCCGAGCCAGGTGCAGGATATAATCTCGTGATGCGCCGTTTTTTAAGCCCGTCGGAAAAGCGCAGTATTCGGGTGGGAGTGACCCGATTTTCCAGGTGCCGTCTGTCACCCCGTTCTTTGACTAGGAAAGGGAACTCCCTGACCCCTTGCACTTCCCGAGTGAGGCAATGCCTCACCCTGCTTCGGCTCGCTCATGGTGCACGCACCCACTGACCTGCGCCCACTGTCTGGCACTCCCTAGTGAGATGAACCCGGTACCTCAGATGGAAATGCAGAAATCACCTGTCTTCTGCGTCGCTCACGCTGGGAGCTGTAGACCGGAGCTGTTCCTATTCGGCCATCTTGGCTCCTCCCCCGGGACAATTATTTTCTATGGAAATAAAACTAATTCTTGGTAAATCTGTTTTGATAATTTATTTCTTTAAAATAGTTGGTCTGTTCTATCAAAATGGTTAACTTTATTTGCAAAATGTTAATTTTATCATTATTATTTGATGTCCATGGGATTTATAGTTCCCTTTACTTTTCATTTATGCTATTGGTTTTTTGTGTTTCTTTCTTGTTTGTTTTTTGATCAGCCTAGGAATAAATATATTAATTGCATGGATCTTTTCAAAAATCAGTTCAGGGTTTTTAAAATTTTCATTATAATCATTATAATTATTATTATTATTATTATTATTATTATTTGCTTTCCCACTAGTATTTTAGATCATTAAATTCAGGACTGTATTTATTTTTATATATAATTAAAACATTTAAAGCTATGAATTATATTCTGTGCTCTTCTGTAGCTGCATCTAAATAAATTTGAAAAATATTCCTTTAAATGTAATTCAATTAATTTATTAAAAGCTACATAAAATAATGTAACTACTTTAAGTATAATATATGGAATATCAAAAATATATACTTTTCTTTTTTTGACTCCCATATGTGTGTTTACAGCATTTATTTCTAAATATATCATAAACCTACAGTTCATTTTTATTATATTACTTGAAACAGTCAATTATTTTTAATAAGAATATAAATGAAACATAAAGTTTTAAAAATGCTCATATATATATACTATTTCCTCATCGCTGCTTTTCCTCCAGCATTGTTTTACTTCTGATGGTAAAACTTTAACTTATTTTCAGTGCAGGTGTGCTGACTTCAAGTGTCTCAGCTTTGCTTTGGCCATAATTTTTTTTTTTAATTTAAGCCTCATTTTTGGGAGATTTTTTTTTTTACCGTGTGTAGAACTCTTTTTTAAAATTTTAATTTTAATTTAGTTTAATTTAATTTTATTTTATTTTTACAGAGGCAGGATCTCTCTATGTTGCCAGAGCTAGCCTTGAACTCCTGGGCTCAAGCAATCATCCACCTCTTCCTCCCAAAGTTCTGAAATTACAGGTGAGAGCTAGGACGGGCAGCCCTGTAATTCTTGGGTAAGGATTTTTTTTGTTTTTAGCGTTTGAAGAATTGAAGCATTTCATCATTTTTTAAATTACATAGTTTCTGAAGGGAAGTCTGTTATAGAGTGTCTTTTTGTTCATCCATATACAGTGTGTATTTTGTGTGTTGATATTTTCCTTTTATTATAGGTTTCTGGAATTTGATTATGATGTGACTTATTATTGTTTTCTATGTGTTTATATTACTTGGGGTTTTTTTAGGTCCCTAGATATGTGGGTTTATAACTTCATTAAATCTAGTAAAAGCTCGTCCATAATGTCTTTAAATATTTATGCTTTCCAACCTCTCTCCTTCTGTATTCCCTATAAACTTGTTATTATCCCGTAGGAACCAATAATTAGTTAATACTTTCTTTTTTCCTCACTGTGCTTCACTTCCCTAGTTTTTATTATGTCTTCAAATTCTGTAAGATTTTCTTCTACAATATTGAATTTACCATAACTCCTAGTGATTTTTTTTTTTTACATTTTGATACTATAGTTTTCATCCTTTAAGTTTCTTTTTTATATTTTCCATTTTTCTTCTCACAATGTTTAGGCTTTTTCTTTCCTATTTGAACATAACTATAATATCAGTTTTAATATCTTTCCAAAAATATTGTATTGTTTCTATCATCTCTGGATCTTTTTCTGTTGACTGATATTATTTTCTTTTATGTATGATTGCATGTTCCTGCTTTTTGGCACATTTATTAGTATTTGGGTAGCGTATGTATTTAATTTTATCTTATAAAATGTCTGGATATATGTCTCTTTTTAAAGAATATTAGGCTTTCTTTCTTATTTTAAGCTTTGTTAAGAAATGCCTAGAATACACTATATATTACTGAACATTGGCCCTAATATTAAGACATGGCTGTCACAGAGTAGTACTGAATTTTCTTGTGGCTTATTGAAAATCAGTTACATTCAAGCTATGGAGAAACTCTCAAAAGGTCATTTTTTATCAAAATTTGTGGTGTTTTTCACATTTGTTTGTCATAGTGTTCAAAAGAAATTTTTTTAACAGAATTTCATATCAACTAGTGGAGCTCTTTTCCTGAATCTCCCTCTTCTCTGCACCTCTGCCCTGAAATTTGCAGACATGCAATGATCTCTCCTAAAATTGGGTCACTATCTTGAAGACTCAGCAAGACTACTGCTTGGGATATTCCTCCTGGCTCCATGCTGTTAATGTTTTTCCAGCCATAAAGACCAGAAAATTAGAGGTCTTTCTCTGTTAAACTCAGTCCTTTCAATGACCACTGACCATTATTTGATTTTCTATGTCTGAGGATAATTATTCCTTTTTAAAAATTTGATACAGTTTTATTTTTGTTCATGGTAGGAGTGTACATCTGGTTCCTCTGATTGTAGTATGGTCAGAAACATTATTGAAGATATACACACACGCATACACACAAACACACAGACACACTTCCGGGCAGTTTTTCAAAAGGTCTGCATAGTGTCTCATTGTCTCAAATATGGTCCATTTCCATTTTGTACCAGGCAAATTATTGATCTTTAATGTAAGTTTGTTGTTAAAATTAGGGTTTATAAGTTTTTGCTCAATATTTTAAATCATTTACTGGGCAAAGTTTTGCTAGATTTACACGGGATTCTAGTTTACAGGGTTCTTTGCCTGTCCTAGTAAAGCAAATTATTTTGTAGTCTTTCTGTTCTAAAGGAATAGTACTTGAAAGTTTGAGCCTTTCATGATGCGTTGTTTGTGATACACTCTTCCTGCTTTTGCTTCCAAGAAAATAATTTGCCCCAAAGAAATAAGTATATCACGGTGTGTTGTTTTTCTTCTAAACTTGAACTCACTTAATTTGGAGTCTATGAATGAAGGTAAATAGACACTTATGATAATAAATGTAGAATTAAGTTGGCTGACTCTAAAAATAAGTGTTAAGTGGGTGTGTGGTGGTTAGGTGTGAATGGGTGGAAGAGGTGATATTTTTATTTTTGGAAAGTAAACCTAATGTTTATATCAATAAATTCATATTATAATTTCTCAATCTTTATAATGGTACTTATCCTTTGGCAATGCAAATGGTATTACCAATTTATCCAGGAGTATGTTTATAAATCTAACTCCATTAGATATTACAATTAGTATTTATTTTTCACATATATAACTCATATTTGTCTTATTCCAACGTTGAAAGCTGCTATTATATTTTGTGTTGTCTTTATAGGTATTGTAATGGATTATTGAAACAATATATAATTTTACAAATACAAACTGTACGTCTGCTGTGGTGAAATCTGAAAGCTTGTTTTTTGGACATGGGAAAAAACATAAATACATTTCTTGATTTAGAAATATTACTCCACAAAAGAATTATAAACTATTATTGTTGATATATTATTTGTGTGATTTAGTTCCCAGATTAATTTGCCATGCATAACAAAGTAACTTTCTGAATCAAAGTGGATTCAGTCATTATGAAGTAATGAAGTGATTTTTATTTTTGAAATTATTTATTCAAAATGCCAGAGTTGCATCATTTGGTCTCTTCCTGTGAAAGATATGTTATCAAATATCATTCAAATATTTCTGATACATATTGAAAGATAATGTATTTAAGGAGATCATTGACTTTATTATATTTCCCTGATTGATAAGTAATAATTCTAAAATTCAGCAATAAAATTAACGTGTTTATAATACTGAACAAACTATTTCATTTTAGTAATTTCTATAAAATGTAATGCTATAAGTTTAAAAGGAAAGATTTATCTCAACTTTGTGTTTAAAGAAGTAGAAAATGAAAGTGTAAGAAATCCATAATGTCTGGACATAAGTAAAAATGAATAAAAAGAGTGCAGTATTTTAGTTTGTTGTCTTAACCATTGCTAGAACTACATTTTTGCAGAATATTTTCTCCATAGTTTATGGTAAAATTAGCCATTAAGATCATTTTGCATGAGATTTGAAGGTAATATTGAAGCAATTTTATGCTCTGTAGATTAGAGAGACAAGTAGCACCGTACCTCCCATGAATTGTTACTCAGCTTATTGGTTGACTTATTAATTGGCTCACCTTGTTAATGAAGGAGAGCAGCTAGGCCTTCGTGTCTACTGCCCTCTTTCTATGTTTGTGTTGTGCTTAGCTTTGAGCAGGTCACGTGCAAGTCATTTGCATCACTGAGGTTGGTAGCTGTGAAAAACAGAGCACAAACTGAACAAAACGTCCTAGTTTGTCCTCATGGACCCCAATTTCCTCTTTCATGTTCTTGGTTTCCATGCTTAGATTTTCTTCATGACTATCAGCTCTTCTGACTTTCATAGATTTCAGAAGTCCCACCAAATACAGAGAAAACAGCCTTCGATATGTGTTTTAACCGTCTCCAAAATGATTAAAGTCTAACTCCTATAACTCTTATATCATAATATTCTTGGTAGTTCTGCTTCCATGTCTGAATCCTAAATAATACACATATATAAATTGAGAAATATATATATATATTCTTTTATGTTCAAGCTTCAGTTTTCTCACCTGTAGTATGTGAAAATTGTCATGTTCTCACAAACTTGTGATATTAAAAATCCTAAAATGTGTAGTACTTAATACTCAATCTGTCAACATACTAATTATATACTTCGTGATAGGAAGAATAACAATGAATATTATGCTTGACCTGCTAAATATCATTGTATTGTTTCCTTTTTTCTCAAATACATATTGTATTTTTCAAGACCAGGCATGGTGGCTCACACCTGCAACCCCAGCACTTTGGAAGGCAGAAGCAGGAGTATCACTTGTGCCCAGGAGTTCAAGACCAGTCTGGGCAACACAGAGAGAACCTGTCTCTTCCAAAATTTTTGAAAAAAATTAGTTGGGCCTGGTGCTGCACATCTGTAGTTCCAGCTAATTAGGAGGCTGAAATGAGAGATTCACTTGAGCTTGGGAGTTTGCGGCTGCTGTGAGTCATGATTGCATCACTGCACTCCAGCCTGAGTGACAGAGTGAGACCCTGTCTCAAAAAATCATACATATGTATTTTTTACATATAGAATACATATAGTATTAATATGTATATTAATATAAAATATGTAAATATGTTTTATACATATAGAAACTTTAGACAAATTAAACTTAGCAGAGTTTGAATAAGGAACAATTTATGAATCAAGCAGCACTCAGAGCGGTTCGGAGAGATTCACCGAGTAATATGTGTAGTAAACTTTTATCACATGGTTGGCTATAGCTAGATGTTTGCCTATTTGGGAATAGAGTAATGAGGCATTTGCCTTATTTGAGTATAGTCTGATTACTTGGCTGCGTGTGATTGACTGAAGCCCAGCTATTCGTAATTGGCTAAAACCCAGCTTTTGTTAATAAAATATAGACTCCTAAATTAGGTTTTTGGTTTTTTTTTTGCATACTGTCAGATTGCAGTTTGTTATGTAGGAACTCAAAATACATAGATAATCTCAGGTTAAGGGTCTCCTGCTTATTTGTTTTAACATTTATAATAGTCAAATGATGAGGGAACAATGCTTATACTTTTTACAATTACACATACAAGTAATTTTACGTGAAATTACTGAGTCATTTCTTCTTAAAATGTTTATAAATATTTAGATATAATTCTTCATGTGAACAAGTATTATTTTGCATAAATGCCATACATTTAGAGTTAAAAATATTTTATTTATATTTTATGTCCATTAGGATAAATAGAAATATCCATGTAAATTTACAATCTCTGCTTTCTAAAAATTAAGAATTAACTTTTTCAAAATTTAAGGTTGCATGTCTGGAAATATAATACTTGTGCTGTTTTCTGTTATTATATTCAATCAGCAAAACAATCATTTAAAATGTTTTATTCACAGAAAATTTTCTCTCTGTAACATTTTAATAATTCAGATATTTTTAATAGTTTAGATTTCCCACTTTCTTTGTTAAAAAAAAAAAAATCCAGCCAAGCGCAGCGGCTCACGCCTGTAATCCCAACATTTTGGGAGGCCGAGGCGGGTGGATCACCTGAGGTCAGGAGTTCAAGACCAGCCTGGCCAACATGGGGAAACCCTGTCTCTACTAAAAGTACAAAAATTAGCTGGGCTTGGTGGTGGGTGTCTGTAATCCCAGCTACATGGGAGACTGAGGAAAGAGAATTGCTTGAACCTGGGAGGCGGAGGTTGCAGTGAACCGTGTCGTTCCACTGCGCTCCAGCCTGGGTGATAAAGCGAGACTGTGTCTAAAAAAACAAAAACAAACAAACAAACAAAACAAAAAAACCTATAGAAAAAGCTTCAGTTTCAGCACTCAAGAATGAACTTGCAGAATTCCAAGATTCTTAGACAGAACATTCATATTTTCATTTTCGACTCTACACATCAACATTATATTAAAGCCTTCTTAATTTTACATTTATTACATTGTTTTCTAAAGAAGTGAATCTCAATTTTGAAATTAAGTTTAAAAATATTATGAAATAAAATAAAATTTTCATCGGAGAACATGACTACCCCACAAGAGACCATTAGCAATTTCATCCTATGGCTCTGCAATAAAACATGCTGTGTAAAAGTGATTGCATTTGAAGTTACTTGTACATTTGAATGCAAACTACCCAATCATGAAAAATGAGGCTTCCATTTTCTATAAAAATAAATTAGGAGGCAATGCTTTGCTGGCAAAGCCATTTGAGCTCCTCAGTTCATAACTATTTATGGTAACATAAACAGATGTCTTTGCTCACACTGTGAACTGCTTTGCAATATTAATTTAACATTACTTTATATCCTAAAGTGAATGTAGGTGACTTGTTTTAGGATCTAATAAAACCAGCCCTGATGTAGAGATCCCATAGGAAATTATACAATAACGTTACCTCCATAAATAATTTTCTTCTTATGAAATCATAATCCCCATTACAATTTTAGAACTGTTATTTAATATCATGATTTCCACATTAATATCTTAGGTACAAATGTAATTTTTAAAATGAAAACACACTTTTCAAGAAGACATTCCTTTGGGAAAATAAGTTTTCACTTCTAAATTTAAAGTAGAATAAAATAAATATTGGCTGTGTCACCTATTGCTTATTGACAGTAAAATTACTTTTTAGTTAACAGAACAATTTTTCTCTGACAAAATATTATGATGGTAGTGCCCAGTAAATTGTAACTAAGAAAGCTGATAATAACTGCTCAAATATGAATAACATAAATGCTGTCTGAAAATTATGCATATCTTTAAAATTCCTGAGAAACATTTAAGAATAAAATATTATCTTAAATGTAGTAGTTCTTCCTGCCCAAATGCATTCACCAACAGACATATATTAATATGTCTACTGGAAGCAGTATTATACAATAGAAAGAGCAAAGATTTGAAGTTTAAAAAAAAACGGTTCTGATCTGAGTTCAAACAGCTATAAAGCTTTTCATTTGCCCCTCAACACTAATTTCCTCATCTAGAAAATTGGAATAAAAATGGCCACTGTCTACTTTTGTGGTAATTGCATTTTTAAAGATTAAATTATATAAAAATTACAAAATGTGTAATTCGATGCTAGACATATAGCATTGTTTCTAATTTGCATATTAAAATGTTTCTTGGTATACGCATTTAATAACACGAGAATAAATCCAGTGTCTTTATATTAGGTCCTAAGAAAAATAATATTTCTAATTAAATAATCCTAAAGATACTTCCAAAAATGCTGACTTAGGAAAATAAAATTAAAAAATAACCTAACAAATATTCTTTCTTCTTTACATTTGCCTCCATGACATATTAATAGCAGGAGTCAATAATAACTGTTTTATAGTAACTGCTTCTAAGCATTTTCTTCCAGAAGGACATATAATTATAAGGAAAAAGTATTAAATAAATTTTAGACATGGGGAAAAAATACTTTCTTCTTCCCATCATATTGTGCAAGATACTGAAGGACTTTATATGAATTAAGTCTACTTTTATTAAATGATGTTAATAATCTATCACTACTTGTTTGCCAAATAATCATCTATACCTTAAACTTTTGTCTCTTTTAGATATGCCATTTAGTGTTGTTCCTCATGGTGATTTTTCTCTGTTGGGGCTCAGAAAGTGATACTCCAAAGACTGGGGCTTTGACATGCTAAGAGGCTTTAGATGCTGTCTCAGAATCAACATCCCTCAAACCCTGCCTTATTTCCCTCTCCCACCCAAAGTGCAAGGAGAAGTAGCTCTGAAATTTCCTTATATGACCAAGAAAGCCTCTTTTCAAAAGAAATACAACTGTTTCAAATAACTAGGAAAGATCAACTACCAGAGAAGAGAAAAATACTAGGAGTTATCCCCAGTCATCCCTCAGATAGACTTTTCATCTGTTCTTCTGAAGACAGCTCCAAGAGATTACTTGGAGGAATTTATATACATAATGCTCCTGTACAGCTATGCCCCTCACATTTCTGTAATGTCTGCCTCCTGTCTCCTTACATCCTTCGCCTATGAAGAAGATTATATAAGCTTCTGCACTTGTTGGGCTATTGAGTAATTATTCTTTTGCAATTTCCCTTGTTATGCACATTCAAATATATTGTATGCCTTTTCTCTTATTAATCTGCCTTTTTGTCTTTTGATTTTTCAGCCAGGCTTCAGAGGGCAAAAAGGAAATTTTCCCTTGGCCCCTACACTTGGGCCCCTACACTAAAAGAACTAAGGGACTACCTCTATGTATATTTATTTTTTATGTGTTTATCACATTTCTTCCTATGTATGAAACCGCCTTTTGCAAAACTGTAACTGAGGCAGTGAAAGAGATCTGATCTAACCAACTCCATCTTGCTTCTTTTCTCCAAGCTGTCCTTGTTCTTTCCTGGGCATAGACAAACTAACTTTTGGAGAAACTTTGTTTATAGTTTATAGTTTACAACAAAGGCAATAAAAGCTCTTTCTGAAAAGAAACCCCCTTCTTGCCTGAGGACTAGACTGCCTTTGTAGGACTAACAAATTAGCCACAATATTAGAAAATATGATTTAGGATTTATTTAGCTGGAGGCTACAAGATTTTGGCCTTCCCGAAATTGCTGCTGGGGATAACATTGCTATTATATAAACATACTATATATATATATATATATACACACACACACACAATACATATACAATGTATTATATATTATATACATATATATACATATATACATATACATATATATATATATATATATATATATATATATATATATATCAGATCAGTGCTTGAGATATTTTGCAGACCCTCCGCTTGACAGGATCAGCTGGCCCTACTCAGATCTATAAGCTGGCTCCTCTGATCTTGTGGCCGCCACCCAGGAAGTGAGTCAGCACAAGAAGACAGCTCACGTTCCTGTGATTTCATCCCTGACCCTACGGATCAGCACTCTCGCCCCACCCACCAAGTTGTCCTTAAAAACTCTGATCCCCAAATGTTTGGGCAGACTAATTTGAGTAATAATAAAACTCTCATCTCCTGCACAGCACACAGCTGTCTCTGTCTTGGTAAATTGGCTCTATCTAGAAAGCAGGCAAGGTGAACCCATTGGGCACTTACACGTAAAGTCATAGAAAATTGTCAGTATCTTTAAGGATCATATAATCCAGCTATTGATAAGGAATATTCACATAAAGTAATTACCTAAGGATATGAGGATACACTATCTTAGTGACGGAGGCATGAATGGTAAAGACTGTACATGTACACTACATTCTGAAGGAATGAAAAAATCATTTGAAAAAATTATCAGAAAAATAATAATTCTGATAATATTTTAGGGTATGGGTTTCTAATCCCCAAAACAATTGAAGAATGTCTTTGTTGTATCTATTTTTAGGACAACTTTTTCAATTTATATTTTTTGTATATATCATAATATCATTGAAAAGTGACCCTGTATTATTTATAAATAGTATGTATTTGTCTATTCATTAAAAATACTGATTGATATGCTAGCACTCTTTGATTTAGTATACAGATCAAAGCTTATAAATTTCAGAGGTATTCAAACAAGAGCGACTCCATATTCAATAAGGGCTGGGTAGAATAAAACTGAGACCTACTGTGCTGCATTCCCAGAAAGTTAAGGCATTCTTAGTTATAGGATGAGATAGGAGGTCAGAACAAGATACAGGTCATAGAGATCTTGCTGATAAAACAGGTTGTGGTAAAGAAGCCAACCATAACCCACCAAAACCAAGACGGTGACGGAAGTGACCTATGGTCTCCCTCACTGCTCATTATATGCTAATTATAATGCATTCGCATGCTAAAAGACCCTCCCACCAATGCCAGGACAGTTTACAAACGCCATGGCAACATCAGGAAGTTACACTATCTGGTCTAAAAAGGGGAGGAACCCTTGATGTGGATCTTTCCTTGTTCATTATAGTAATTTGAGAAAAACTGGCTGTCCAATTAACAGCAGTAGTTTCTTTCTTAATGTTTGATGTTTGCCTAATGATATGGCACCAATCATAATTAAGCAAATACATTTTTTAAAATCTAATGAGTTTCTAATAATTCAAGTATCACATACAGGGGCTAATTGTTTCATCAGGCTAAAAATATATTCACTTTATAAAGTATTTTTTCTGTTTAAAGTTAAAATGAATAATGGTTATATTTAAATGATCACTATTGAATTAACTGTATTTTCCAATGTTATATATATTTAAAATGTTTAAAAAGGTAAATATAAAATCTAAGATATTTGAGCCTTATCATAAACAAATGTTATTCTCCTTCAACATATTAAATAGAACATTCCTGATTACTTTTTTCATCTAGAAAATGTAATGTCTCTCTATGATATACATGTATAAATTTAATAGAATTAATTATCTCCCTATAAAGCAAAATTAAATTTTTAATCAAGTGCCTAGGACATATCACAAATGGACCAATAAATTAAAGTAATTTTTTTCTTTGAGCTCCTTAGTAAAATTTGTATTTATACTGATCATTCTGTAATTGCATACAAATACACATATGCATACACATACATATTTATTGGTTTATCCACACATTCAAATGAAATAGTTTGCCCATTGGTTTCATCTTGAATACATGTAGAAAGCATTACTCAGAACTATGGATGAGGTTACATAAAGCTTATTCAATTCAGATCTTTACTATTTTAAAATGATATCTACCTTTAAATTTATGTTATATGGGTTATATATTATTTATTGACAGACTACTAAAATTTGCTCAACTATGAAAACATTGTACTTTCAATAATTAAAATTAGCATAATGATGCAAAAATGAAATTAAGAAAAGAATTTTATTTATAACAGCCTCAAAATGAAATATTTAGAGATAAGTGTAACTGGGTTATTGTGATGTGGTAACTATTTTGTTAAAAAATTTATTATATTTTACATCTTTATTTAAAAAATAGAATTGAAATGAACTATTTTTATTTTATAGAGTGTTTTTACCAAATTTTGTGCTGTTTAAAGTCTAGTCAGGAGCTCTTACAAAACAAGATTCTGACATAGAATGTGAGCCTCTGAGTTCATGTTAACATGAATGCTTTGGGTTGAAATAATTATAAATGATATTAGTTGACTATTTTATATTTCTTATAAAAATTTAGTAATTTAATATTATTGCTTAGATCAGGAAATAGTAGTTTTTTTTATATCTAATGAAACAAAATGCAAGGAAGGGAAAATATTAGATATTTTTCAGCCTTGTTATCTGGTTTGGTCAACTTTTTTGTCAGGGGCTGAACTATTGATCCAGTTCATACTACAAAGAGCCTACTTTCTGCCTCTTGTGGACATTTTTGTTTGTGCCTGGAGGCCTCAGCTTTTCAACTTTGGAGGCAACAATCCCTTCCTCCCAGGGAACAGCATCCTGATGTGGTTAATCTCCAGGTGGTTTTGCTATCTTCTTAGCGGCATTTCAGCCGTTTTCACCATGTCTGGGTAAGTGGATCTCATGTTGGTCCATCATGCATAAGCTACTTGACTAACAAGATCTTAAGTGATACGATAATTTCTTAGCTAACAATTAAATTAGTACCTCTTAAATTTTATTAAAAGCAAAATATTGAAACCAAACTAAAATGAAAACAAAAACCTTAATCTCTACATTTTATACACAATTAAAATTAATTCAAAATGGATAATAGAACTAAACGTAATAGGTAAGTCTATAAAAATTCCAGTAGAAAACAAGAGAAAATCTTCTAGACCTTGAGTCAGGCAACAAGTTTCGATAAAACTACAGAAAAGAACTGTTAAAAATGTTATAAATTAGCTGTTCTCAAAGTGAAACTTTTACATCTCTAAAGAAATAAGGATAGAATTAAAAAACACCAAGGATGAGAAAATATTTGCAAATAATGTATCTGATAATGGACTGTTATCCAGTAGCAGAAGACACTTTTTTTTCAAAAAGGCAAAGGATATGAACTGGTATCTCACCAAAGAAGATGTATGAATGGGAAATAAGCACATTAAGAAAACATTTGGCATTATTAGTCTTTAGGAACTTGCAAATGAAGTCCACAGCATTAAATCACTGCATGTATACTGGAATGACTAACATAAAAAAGGCTAATGATGCCCAGTGTTGGCAAAGATTTGGAGGAACTAGAACCCTCATACACTGCTGTAAAATAGCACAACCACTTGGGAAAACACTTTAGTGAACTCCTATGAAATTTAAAGTATATGTCTACTCTTAGATATTTACCTAAAGATAAATGAAGCCATTTATCCATCCAAAACTTGCACACAATTGTTAATATTAGCTTTACTTATAAAAGCCAAAGCCTTAAATCAATCTAGATATAAATAATATATAACTTACATTACATATTAAAAAATATATTTTATATTGTATTATGCATTATATAATTTATATATTATATTTATTTTATATAATTTATATATTATATTTATTATATATAATATATATGTAAATATTCATATAATAATACTTATTATTTAAACCTATATATTCTGAGTGAAATATATATATATATTCTGGAAGAAATGACTACAGACTACATGTCTCTATTGCATAAAATTTGAGCAAATAGAATTAACCTGTTGTTAAAAGAAGCAAATAAGTTATTCTCTAGGAATGAAGTTGGAAAAATAAATGGATTACAAAGGGATACAAGAAAACTTTCGGAAGTGATAGAAATTGTTGCCATCTTAATTGGGGATGATTTCATGGGAATATACATATGTCAATCTTATCAAATTACATACTTTAAATGCTAGCATTTGATTGTATAGGATGTTTTTTTCTCATTTTTTATCTTTGTTTTGAATAAAATAAACGATGTGGTATGAAATTTATAATGCATGTAAAAATAAAATATAAGGCAGGATTGAAAGGACAGGAGGAGAAAATAGAAGTATATTTTTTCACTAATATAAAGTGTTATGATATTATTTTAATGTAAACTTCCTTCTGACCACCCCCTCACTCCATCGTGCCAGACTGAGCTGACTATACTGACCAGATCTACCAAATATTTCAAAAATAAATAACACCTATTCTACACTAATTCTTCAAGATAATAAGAGAAATATCACTTGCTGGTTCATTTTATAAGACCATCATTACCCTGATACTAAAACCAGAAAAATCATTATAAGAAAAAGAAATTGCAGATCAGTGTTTCTTCCTTAAAAACATAGATAAAATTAAACCTCAAAAAATTTTGACAATTGAAATCCAATAATATATAATGAACATTATAAGCAATGAGATCAAATATGGTTTAACGTAAGAATTAAATGTTAAACATTTAAAAATTAATCAAGGTACCTCACAAAACCTGTAGCATCAATTCAATACATGCAAAAAATTTTTGGTGAAATTCAGGACAATTTCGATAAAAATTCTCAGCTAACCAGAAATAGAAGAAAACTTGTTGAGCCTGATAAAGGATGCACATGAAAAATCTAGAAGTTAATGATGAAAGACAGAATATCTTTTCATTAAGATCAGGCATAAGAAAAGGATGTTTGCTCTTCCAAATTATATTCATCATTTCACTACAGATCTTATCTAGTGCAATAAGACTAGGAAAAAATAATAAAATGGAAAAAAGAAATAGAAACAAAAGTAACTGTCATTATTGGCAAATGATATGATTGCCTATGCAAAAACTATTCTTAAGGAAACAAACTCTTAAAGCCCTTTCTAACCCCCAGTATGCAACATTAAATGCAGATGAATCTTTGCTTATTGAGACAAAGTCCATAAATTCAGCCTTATTCAATTTTCTGTTTCTTTCACCATTATCCCACACCCTCAGCATCAATTTCTAAAAAATGTTTTCTGATTTCCATTTGTATAAATTAGAAACTCAAGTCGTTCTTTTGGAGTGCAGTGCACCTCCTCATGGGTTTCACATTGCACTTCCCTTTTAGGTGCCTGCATGGCCCTGATTCTAGATATAGATCTAAAAGCAAAGAGAGGTGATGGAGGTGGGTCCAGGCAATCAACGTTGTCTTGCATGAACACTGCCTCAGGGGATGCCCTTATAGTTTCTTCAGGCAATGCAGGGTTAATCCCATCAGGTGGAAGTGGACAGGCCAATACTGCAGTGGGAGAAGAGACTTCAACCACTTGGAGGGAGGAGATGCCTCTGCCAGTGCAGATGGGGAAGCTACTCCTGCAAGGATTAGGAAGCTCACCTCTGCTGACAGTTTACAGGCCAAGTCCACTGAGAGCAGGGTGCCTGCTTCCACTGGGTTTAGAAAACCTCTTCCACTGGCAAAGAAAGCTCACCAGAATTTAGGGGCTCAGTGTCTCCAGTTTCATCAAAGCCTTTCCACAAAAATCCATCCCAATTCATAGGATATCCTTGTTTCCCGGTCAATGTCCTCATTTTGACAGTAAACACTGCAAAGCTGGGAGTTCAACTTGCATTGTTATTCAGCATGTTGGAAGATGAGATTATGATTTACAACAACTTTAGCTCTATAGCTAAGAGATGAGGATCTACTTTCAGGCCCACATACAAGACCTTAGCTTACTTGGGTGGTATTTGGGGTGGGAATTTGAATCTCTGAGCTCATCCTTTTCTTGAATCACTTTGTCCATCAACCTTAGGAGTAAGCAGTCAAAATCATTATATTAATTAGTTTTTCAAAAATGTTACAAAGTATTATTTAAAAATGTTACCAGCAAATTATTACAAGCTCCTTGCTTTATACAAGGGGTTATCTATGACTATGTAACACAGATATTTTGTGTATCTCTATAACCAGACCAAGCCATTGACTATGAGTGCTCTCTTTACTACTGAAAATTTAATTAGCATCTTTAAATTTAATCAGATTATAGACCCAATACCAAAAACTCCAAAACCAAAGAAAACTCATTGTTAACATTCACTTTCTTTATAATCACAAAATAATAACAAAATCTGTTTTAGTTAGCATTCAGCAGTCTCCAGACACACAAACACCCCCCCACCTACACACACACACACACACACACACACACACACACGTAATATATAAAATTATAAAATTTATTATGAGGAATTGGCTCATATGATTATGTCTGAGAAGTCTCACAGTATGTATGCCCTTTGCAAGCTGGAAACTCAGGAAAGCCAAAGTATAATTCAGTTTGAGTCCAAAGGCCTGAGATCCAGAAGAAGTGATGATGTAAATCTCAGTCCAAAGGCAAAAAAAGATGAGATTAGATGTCTAGCTCAATTTACACAATATGGGCAAAACCAAACAAACAAAAAGGCAAATTACTCTGTTCTCTGCCTTGTGTTCTATTCAGGCCCTAAAAAGATTGACTGATGTTAAACCACTTTAGTGAGAGCAATTTAAGTTACTGAGTACACTGATTCAAATCCTAATCTCATCTGGAAACACCTCACAGTCTCACAGAAAACAATGTTTAATCTGGACACTGCTAGTCCACTGAAGTTGACACATACAATTAACAATCGCAGAAAGATATAGAATATATCGGTAATAATCATGTTGATATCCCTAACCCTATCCCTTTTTCAAAATAATGGTAGAACAGATACTGTTGGTGCCCAGCCTTCTTCCTTCTCTGTCTTGTTAGTTTCTGACCACCAGCACTGACACCTGTTTATCTGAGGGCATTTAACAAAGCTTTGAAAGAACGTTTTGTTAAGCCTGAACAACAGATCTGAAATATCAAGATACTAACCACTTCACATCCCAGCAGCCCTAAACACCCCTGAAAAGAAGTTTTGTATGCATTGTATGCTCCCTCACTCTACCATTCAGTGGTATAAGTGAGTCATGTATTTTACATCATTTCCTAAAATTTCCCCACGGACTCAGCACCCCATAAATAGAATTGAAGATGAAATTTAAAATGTACTATTTTTAATAGGGCTATTATACATTTGTAAAGTGTCAACTGTTAGCATTAATGAGATTGATATTGTTCTATTATCAGGAGACATAAAAGTGCTCAAAGACTCTGTAATGTAACATCTATCTGGTTTAGTTTAAAAATCATTTATTCTATAATTTGGGCCTCAGAAACTATTACCTTCAAATATGACACTTTGACATGCTGACCTGAAGAAAAGCTTCAAAATCACTCTGACCTTCTCCCTGCACCCACCCCTTCCCTTCCCCACCCAGTCTCTCAGTCCTTCTCAGTCAAAGCACAGGATGAAGTTTTTCTCTTAAGTTCTCTTATCTGGTTAAAATCTGGATCATCCAAATAAGAAAACAAGTATCTCTGTTCCCTATCGTGAGTTTCCATTAATTGAACATTTATCACAGGAAAAAGACAGAAGTTTGTCAACACACCTGGAAAGATTTCTGTCTCACATCACTGTCTGCTCTGCTGGTCCAATAGACTTTGTCCCAGGCCGATGTGTGTTCTTCAAGTCCATTGAATTCCTCTAAAAATCATGTACTATCCTCCTAAAGTTATTCACACTTCCCCATCTCTCTTTCCATGAATAAGAAGGGTTTATAAGCATCTGCAACTCACTGGGTGGTAGGGTAATCACTCCCTGATTCTCACCCTCTCACGTACATGAATACATTTATCTGCCTTTTGTCCTATTAATCTGCCATTTGTCAGTTAATTTTTAATGAACCTTCAGAGGGTGGAAGTGTAAGAGTTAAAAAAAGAAGAAAGAAACACAAAAAGGGGCTCAACAGTCAAAGGGGCTCAACAGGTTTATTTTGGAGAATAAACATGAAAGGGGCTTCTGGCCTTCTCTCTTACAGACTAAGGGTATTGAAGGGTTTAGGGAGGGTGAGCTTATCTCAGGCTCAGAATGTTTCTGTGTGGAGGAGAGTTTTATTGTGGGATTGAAATGTCTCTGGTTGGAGGAGAGGTTATCTCAGGGTTGGCATATTTCTGGTTGGAGGGGGGTTTATCTCACGGTTGGAATGTTTCTGGTCAGAGATGTCACTTGTGATTCATGGGCATGTTGTCATTAGCCATTAGGCTGATGTTTTGGGGCTGGATTTAGGGGTCCCTAAAATGGTGGTGTTTGTCCAAGATGGCGATGCTACTGCTCTTTTGGCAAGGAGAAGTTTTCTCTTGGTCCCTACACATTGAAGACATAAATCCTGCTTGTTTTTGGAAGACTTGATAAAGTTGTATTTAATGTGACTAGGGAACATTAATCAGATGCAAGTTTTTTGACATTCATTTCAGTATTTAAAGAGGCTATAGAGTTGGAAGAAGCCAAGAAACATGAAGTTTTAGTTGAAAAAACTATTAACCTTAATGTAGATTTTAGAGTTTTGCCTGTGATGATTTTCCCCAACTGACAATCTACTTATTCCTAGGAGGCTTGATTAGATCTTTAATTAACTCAATCTGGAAGTGTAGTGACCTCTAATTAAATTAAATTTTGTTTCTCCTGGCAGGAAAATAATGAACATATTTAAATAAGTTTCACAGCTATGCAAAATCAAAACCAATTAGAAGCTAATAATGAAGTATGTCAATAGGTGTACAAACTAGAAAAAAGGAAAGTTCTTGTCTATCTATCAAAATTATGAGGTTTAAAAACTTGATTACTATAAATGAAGCAATCTGTAAACATACATATGTACTGAATGTTAATAAATGAAATGTATCCTTTAGAAAACACATCAGAAAATAATAAGCATCCTAATTATTTTTCTGAGTGATTTCCTTCAAAATCAATTTAGCTTGCTCTTGCTTGAAACACTTTCAGAAGTTTTGTTTTTGAATATCTTGCAAAATTAGTATAAATCACACAGCAAACTCAACCATAAATAGTCATGCTGACTATGTATTCCCTTTCTGCTATACGATTTAAAAATGTATGTTTAAAATATGAATAAAATTCTGTGTTCCGTGATTAATATGTTATTCAAATATGTTAAATAATATGAAGACCTTCAATAAACAACTGTTAAAATAATATCAAAGGGATATATGAAACTTGGCCAGAAACTATATGTTAAATGAAATGCTTCATTTTAATTCTTATGAACTTGAAAACATTAATATCTTAATCTATTTTCTGCTGCTGTAACAGAATACCACAGATTGAGTCATTTATAAAGAAAAGAGATTTATTTGGCTCCGTGGTTCTGAAGGTTGGAAAGTCCAAGGTTGAGGGGATACATCTGGTTGTGAGAGCCTTCTTGCTACATCATAACATGGTGGAAACTTTCACATGGTGAGAAAGCATGAGTGAGAAAGAGAGAAAGACAAAGAGAGAATAAATTGGGTCAAATTCATCCTTTTTAATCAGGAGCCCAATTCCATAAAAAGTCACACCCTGATAATAGCATTAATACATTCATGAAGAGAGAGTCTTCATGACCTATTCACCTTTTAAAGGCCCTTCTGACACTCTTACACTGACAGTTAAGTTTCAAAATGAGTTTTGGAGGGGACAATTGAACAATAGCAATTAATGAATATTTTATTATAAATAGTTTTTATAAATACTCATTATAAAAATTAAGAACTTTCTCCAGGTGGTGCATATTGTTTGACTATTTTGATCAGGTTTATTTTATTCTTTGATTGTAAAAATCACATGTGATCATTTAAATAGAATAGAAAACAAATATATTAAAATATTAATTTCTTAAGCTTACACCCCAGATATATTTCCCCTATTTAGTTAATATTTTTACATATTTAGTTTTTGTTTACAGAACTTTTGGTAAAATTCATACAAATATAATTCAAATATTTTACATTTATATTTTGTGAGTTTTGACAGACGCATATACTCACAGCTCCATTAAGTTACAGAATATTTTCATCATCCTGGAATTTTTTTTTATCCTCCTTCCCAGCCAACTCCATTCCATTCAGAGACAGATATTCTTTAAACAATTTTGCCTGGGCAATTTGTCCATACTTGGAATATTTTTTTTACTTGTTTTTAAAAACATTTTTGAGCCATGTCTATACATCCATAAATTTCAAGTCAACCTATATATCATATGTACATACAATTAGTTTATACACATTCAAATTTAGTTTTTTTCTGTCTTTAGTTATTATAAAAACTATAATTGACTTTATTTTTATTTTATTCTATAAATTTTTTAAAGAGACACAGAGTCTCACTATGTTGGCCATGCTGGTCTCAAACTCCTGGCCTCAAGCCATCCTCCTGCTTTGGCCTTCCGAAGTGCTGGGATTACAGATGTGAGCCACCATGCCCAGTGTAAATAAATGTATTTTTATAATAAATAAAAACAAAAAGCAATTCAAACTTGAGAATATACTATATAATTTGCAGATACCATGATGAAATCGCTTTACTCAGACCCAGACGAAACAGGGCCAGGAAGGCGCAAGCCTGAGATAAGAATGCGTACATGTCTGGGATAGGAACGATTTCCAAGAACTTTCTCAGAAAAACTCAATAAGCCCTTTCACATCCTGCATGCCACTTCCCACATTGGAAAGGTATATCACTGCACGTTCTTAAGGCTGCAGTAATTCAGATGAGACACCCTCAAAAGAACACTTGCCCAGGAATGGCAGCCTCTCCCTCTTTGCTAATCTTCTCTTTACCCTTCTCTCACCCAATGCACTAGTGGGTTGCCATTCTGTGAATTCTGGATTATAATCCTTATTTCTCATTCCTGAGTACACTCAACATATTTGGAGATAGTTTTCTCTGATGTATTTTTTAAAGTTGGCAATACATATCACAGAGAAAGTTTTCCTTTATGAGATAATATTGAGTTCCTACTTCCTGTAACACGATATTAAGTGTACTTTATAGTGATATACCTTTACTCTATGTTTTACGTATTTATTGATAGGGCATGTGGTGTATTAAATAAAAAACTATTTAAGAAGTATATATTGGGTAGAAGTTTGGCATATTAACAAATGCATTACTTGTTCTTAAGAGTAAATTGACAAAGTCAAATTATAGTAGAGAAATTTCTATGTAAGAAAACATGCTGCATTAATAATTAATTACCAAATTTATTGAAAGGCAGAAAATAAACATTATGATGCATCTTCATAATAATTTGCCACATATATATAGTTATGCTAAGGGGACCAAGAAGTTTTACTTTCCTCTTAGCCATATTTATATACGTCAAATGTGTTTCTAAAGTAAATTTATTTGAATAGTAACTATTAGTCAGGCCAATACAGAGTGAACAACAATCTTACACTTATGTGAAATAAAAATGTCCTCAGTAGAAATTAACTCAATAAACACATTCTACCTTTGACTTTAATTCCAAAACAAAATATATGTGTGTAGTTTGGGAGTCATCTAATACAACAGTTAAGATCATGGGCTCTGGAGTGAGATGCATTGAGATACTAATTCTAGGTCAGCTAATTAATAGTTTTGTAAATTTGAGCAAGTAACTTAATATTTAAAACTTTAGCCACGTCATTTATAATACAGAGACAACAATAATACTTATACTACTGAATTTTGAAGTACTTTATGAAACATGCAAAAATACACGTGCAAAATACTTTATTAGACCTGGTATATTGTAAAGGCTTAATATTGTAGTTAGCTATTATTGTTCATTATCATTATCATCATAATTTTTATCATCATCAAGATCATGTTAATATCAGAAGTATCACTAATTTTGACTGCTAATAATGGAAATAAATGCAGTTATTGTCTGCATTTTCAGTAATGCATTGTTATATCTAAATATACATCTTCATGATGGAAATAAATTTGCTATTCTTATCATTATTATTTTACCAAAAACTACAATTTTATCATACCCAACTTAAGAACTAGAGTGTAGCTTCTCAAGTGACCATCAGGTTGACATTCATAATTACCAATTTCTTGCTTTTTACGTAGTTTTTATATTATTAGTTTATAATGAAAGCTGTCTTCTGTAGCATTTTTAGTTATGATTCCAAGTTTTATCCTTGTGTTTCAGTGTAGCTGTAGTTTATTTATTTCCACCCCTTTATAATATCCTATTCTAAGGATATAGCAGTTTAATCATTCATTCTCCTGGTGTGCATAATCAGTTTTTTTTTAATTGCTGTTACTAAAATGCTGCAGTGAACACTGTTAAAATATTTATTCATTTAATTGTTACTCTAAGCTAAATATGTAGAATTGGGGGTTCTAGTGATTTTTAAACTGTCTTTGAGACTGACAACTGCAATAAAATTTGAAGTATAAATTTTCCTTTACAGATGACAAAGATAATATACAGATTCTATCATGGAAATAAAGCAGAGTTGATTACCTTTTAGAAATATAACATCAGTGTACTATTACATGAAAAATATTTGAAACCTAGCGGAGTTCTAAAGAAGAAACTGTCTCTACCAGAAACGTTGCCTGCAGCAGAGAGGAGGAGGAACAATCCTGAGCTTCTCTTTAGCTTCTGTAAGTTCTCACAGTGGCAGTACTTCTCCAGAAGCTAGTAGGTGAGAGTGATTGGGAATTAAACATTTTAGAATTTTATCCTCTGCAATACAGATTATAGAAAGGGAAAGAGAAGGGAATAGACTTGTGCAAAACCAGGCACATCAGACTACTACAGTAAGAATGTTCAAAAATGTTTTCAAGCATTTTATTGATTGACATTTTGTTTTCTTACCTGCTGTCACTCTGAACAAAGCTAGAGTAAATATGTTTTCCTCTATTCTGATACGGTTTTGTTTTCAATTCTATGGTGATGATTCAGAAATGAGACCTTTTTAAATATAGGACATATTTCATTATCAAAATTTAATAGGTATTTAAACAGCTGAATAAGCATGAGTAATTTGGGCTCTAAAACTCTGTAACTGTTACAGGAAAGGGGTCCCGATCCAGACCCCAAGAAAGCGTTCTTGGATCTCACGCCAGAAAGAATGTAGGGCGAGTCTGCAGTGCAAAGTGAAAGCAAGTTTATTCAGAAAGTTAAGGAATAATTGGCTACTCCATAGAGCAGCCCCAAGGGTTGCTGGTTGCCCATTTTTATGGTTATTTCTTGATGATATGCTAAACAAGGGGTGTATTATTCATGGCTCCCTGTTTTAGACCATATAGGGTAGCTTCCTGACGTTGCCATGGCATTCGTAAACTGTCATGGCACTGGTGGGAGTATAGTAGTGAGGACGGCCAGAGGTCACTTTCGCCGCCATTTTGGTTTTGGTGGGTTTTGGCAGGCTCCTTTATTGCAATCTGTTTTATCAGCAAGGTCTTTATGACCTGTATTTTGAGCTGACCTCCTATCTCATCCTGTGACCTAGAATGCCTTAACCATCTGGGAATGCAGCCCAGTAGGTTTCAGCCTCATTTCACCCAGGTTCTATTTAAGATGGAGTTTCTCTGGCTCACACACCTCTGACATAAGGATCACTGTATGGTTAGAAAATATGGGAAGCTGGTAATATTGCCTTCGTGTCTTTCTCTTAAAGGGTTAATATCTGTCTGTCATATTATACGTGGGTATATGGGAATCCAGTCTTGTAGGTGTCTGAGGATGACTCTTTGGATTTATATAAATTAGCATGTTTGCTGAAGTTCTTAGTCCTCATCCCTGTTTAAAAAAATGAATTACTGATATTTATGGGATGAATATCACTCTACAAGAAAAATTTAAAGTGAGGGGGTAGCCAGAAAAAAACGATTGAGAAAAATGCAAGAGACAATGCGAAAACCAAAGGCACTTTCTGTGACAGAAAGCCTCCACCATTCTCTTCTGTTCCATGCCTTTCCATGTTAGTCTCTATCCCTCCCAAACTCCTTGCAGCCTACTATCTTTCTCCAGAATTCAGGCTAGTTTTTTGTCTTGTGACCTCGATGAGTCAAGAACTGCTAATTTGTAGTTGCTTCAGGTTTTTCTCTTGTTGTATGATAGGACATTCTGACTATCTCTCTACAACTCTATGTTTGCATAACTCTTTAAATCAAAACTAATATTCTTTTTTCACGGACAAAACTGATGTTTGTTTTACAGTTTCTTTTTCTAGTCTTGAACATCAACAAACAAAAATAAAATCTGATTTAAACATATTATATTATCATGTAGAAATGTGGAAGAGTAACAGCCATACAGCACGAAAGAAGTACAGTCTAAATTCAAGTATAATCCATAGAATAAATCATGGATTTCAAAAAGCAGTTAAAACCACCGTTCAGCTTCTTCATAGAAATTATTCAGTAGCATTATTTAAAATTTTGTAATGGGACTTTTCTAAGCATATGTTAAGAAAATAATTAAAATGATTTTATTATTGGTTTGACATTACTAAATGATCAAAGTAACATATACTCTTGATCAGAATTCTGAATTTCTAAAATATCTGTGGCTAGTATTAGTAGTGTTTTTTTTTCTTTCAAATGATTTTCTATGAAATAGACTATAATGCATGAATGCTAGAATTTGTTTTGACACTTTATTTCTTTAAAATGCCTTTCTTTAACTGCATGAATTATTCCTGAAAACGGAAACACTTTAACATATATAAAATGAGTACTTGAAAATTAAACATATTATGTATTTGAAAACACACACTTCTCAATTTAAAGAATTTTGCAATCGAAGAAACTAAGACTATCATGCTATTACTAAGAGCTACAAGTACAATTATCTGCAGTTTGGCTGCATAGACAAAGTGAAAAATTTTGAATGAAAAAATACATATTTCTTTAGTGCTTTAACAATACAAATAAATTCAAATGACTCTTGGACAAAGATTTCTCTGTATTCCTTTTAATACATATTAATGCTGAATAAATCTTATTTATCATTTCTCAAATAAAATAACAGCTGAAAACCCTGGGAATTACTTTTAGCTCAAGGAATTTAGGTACAGAGCTAGATGTACATTGAGGAGAACAGCAACTCAAGGATTGTCTATTGCAAAAAACAGGGAACATTTTATAATAAATTTGTATTTCTGTAATAAAAACAATTCTAACTTATCACAGTATTCTTCAGTTATTGTGAAAACCAATGCAAAGGTAGAACACAGTCAAACTTCCTGTAATTTTCTGTAATTTTCAAACTTCCCCTACTCTTTTACTGTTTCTGTCATGGTGCCTGTTATTTTTTCCAAAATTTTCAATTGCATATTTAAACTATAAATCCACTGGCGTTTCTGTAAGAAATGAATCACTTTATTTATACATTGTCTCAAATAACTTTATTTTTTCTGCTTGAGTTATGCATTTTAATTGGCAAAAAGTTAGGGAAAATAATTATTTTACCCAATGTGAAGATTGTGTCTAGTTCTGTTCTCTTGGTCCTCTATGACTTTTTTAAAAAAAATTTTATAGTTTGGAAGAATCATCCCTAGAAGGAAATCTAAAGTTTATTATTATCACCTTCCTTATTTGGCAATGAAGAAACTATGGAGTTTGATATTTTTCCAGAATTACATAGCTAACAGAAGTCTTGTGACTCCCTAATATACACTGTTACCTGCACTTTAACTCTAAAAGTGTAACCACAGTGATATTAGTTGTCCAAGAAACTAGAGCTGTGTTCATGTTTTACATAGAACTTGATACCGATAGCATTACAAGATGTTTTATGTCTTTCAATACACAATAATGTATTAGGATTCTCAAGAGGGAAAGAACTAATAGAATATATGCATATATGAGAGGAAGTTTATTAAGGAGAATTGACTCACACAATCACAAGGTAATGTCCCATGATAGGCCATCTGCAAGTTAAGGAGCAAGGAAGCCAATGGCGTATCAGTCAGAGTCCCAAAACCTCAGAAGTAGGGAAGCCGACAGTGCAGCCTTCAGTCTGTGGCTGAAGGCCTGAGAACCCCTGGGAAACCACTGGTATAAATTCACAAAAGCTGAAGAACCTGGAGTCTGATGTTCGAGGGCATGAAGCATCCAACACGGGAGAAAGATGAAGGCCAGAAGACACAGCAAGTCGGTTCATTCCACTTTCTTCTGCCTGCTTTATTCTAGCTGCAGGGGCAGCTGATTAGATGGTGCCCACCCAGACTAATGGTGGATCTGTCCCTCCCAGTCCACTGACTCAAACGTTAATCTCCTTTGGCAGTACCCTCACAGGCACACCCAGGAACAATATTTTGCATTCTTCAATCTAATCAGGTTGACACTCAAATTAACCATCACAAATAAGAATGCCTACATTTAATAATAAATCATGGACGCAGATATTTTAAAAGATGCTACCTTGAAAACTGATCATACAAGAGGTGTAAAGAAAGTGTGATTGTACTGGGTCCTATCTATTAGAAATTAATGTTACAGAAACACATGTTAAAGAATATAGTGAGTTTAGAGAGAGTAGATTGAAATGATACAGAGATGAAATAAATTTTTAAAAGCAATTTAACTTTTAATGTATAACAATTCTTATCTTCCCAATTTATCTGCTCAACTGGAACAATATCCATTTTGTCATTTTAATGTCAATTATGTAATATATACCTTGAAATGAAAACATTACCTTAGGGCAAATGATAGTGAACTCCATTCAGTTAAATTTTATCGCTATGCTTTCTATTTCAATAATAATTTAACAGTCTACTTAACTATTTTCATTCTAAACTATTTTTATTTCTAAAGTATGTCCCTCATCTCCTATTTCCATTTCTAAAATATGTCCCTCATCTCTTTTTCTATATATCTATATAGAAAGATAGGTAGATAGATAGATAGATAGATAGATAGATGATAGATAGATAGATGATAGATAGATATTTCTAGAAAGATAGTTCAATGGTTTTGAAATTTTAATGAGAAAAAAAGATATACTGTAGAGGTAAAGAATGCTGTTTGTTTGGTGTGTCATTGGGTCAAGGGTTGGGGATATCCATGGCAGAATTAGTAGACAGAGTGTTCATCAACGAAGATTCACAAGGTCAAAAAAAAAAAAAAAAAACTGGCGCCTGATGCGATCAACCCTGTTTCCTCATCATTCAGCAGCATGTTGGGGATCCCACCAGCTGATGGGGTACAGATGTCCGGACTCTGGGCATTGCAGGGCAACCTCCAATACATCCACCTCCAGAAGCACATGGTTCACCTTCCTCAGAAACTGCATCATTCTCATATCCCTCAATCAGCCCTTTAGGTTCCTTGATCAGGGGCAAGGTATTGGCCACTCACTCCACTTTGAGTATCACACAAACCACGAAGTGGAGGTTGAACTCCACAGGGAGATAGGAACCTTGGTGTCATGGAGGCACAGGGGAAGCCACAGGGTCCCACTCCCTGCACATGCACACTCAGCCCATGGTGGGTGAACAGTTTCATGTGGCCTCATCAGCTCTAGCAAGGTCAGAACTGGAAAAGGGATGGAACCAGAAGTTTTCTATAATTTAATAAAACCATTTTCCATCCCAATCTGCAATATCTAGTTATACATTTTTATACCATTTCTCAATGAAGTATCTCTATGTTACTTACCTTTAAAAATCTTTGGGCTATTTGATAATTAAGAAATAGTTTGACTTACCAACAAATCATTGAGTAATGTAAAATTGAGGCAAACATATAATTAGTACTTTGAAGACATCATTAACTGTGTTTGTCTTTTGATATAAAGCCAACTAATGTCTTAAAAATTTGACACAAAATTAAGGGTTTTTAAAATAAGATTATATAATTCCAAATGAAATTGTACAGTGACACATTTGTTTCAAGTCCCTGATTTCTCAGATAAAGAGGGCTTATTACTTCTGCAGCCACCCATTAAGTTAGTGACTTGAAGCTAACCTCCTATCTTCTGACTCACAATTTTGTGTATATTATGAAAAACATGTATATTCATATTTAATGTTTATATTAAATATTAACACATTTTTAATTAAAATTAATATATTTTAATTACATGTTAATGTATTACTAGATTTGGAGAACTTTTCCTGCTTCTGTGTTATAACAGTGATTAAAACAGTCAAGATCGATGTGGTCATAGAGGTTAGTATAAAAGACAAAATAAAGAAATGTTTCACTTTCTGGGAGTGATAATTTTGTGTGGAAAAGTAGAGTGAGAGAATGGAGAACAGTTGGAGAAGAAATCTGTTCTAGGTACATTAGTCTAAATGGAATTCCGTAACATATGAAAAGACTTAAATCAAGTTTATGAATTATGCAGAGAAGATAAGTTTATCAAAATTATTTTTCAAAAGAAAAAAGATCTCAGATAACCTTAATAATCACCCCATATCACATATCTTATAAATGATCAAATCAGGTGTGAATTCAAGCCTGTTTAAGACCATAGCAAATTTTCTTTCCATTACACTAGTCTTCATTTCTATTTAGTGATGTCATGTTTTAATGGTGTTGTTAATAATTATATGTCACATCAATAATTGAAATAATGCTATGTGTAACATTAAAAAATATTTCATTAGTGTGGTGGTCTTTAGTGATGTGGCATGGTTTTTAAAATGTAGGTATTAATCAAGCAATATAAAAATGCTTATGCTAATTTTAAAGTATTATTGAAAAAATATCCAGGGGAAATGTGTACTCTATTTAAAGGCCAATGAAGATTCAGAAAAATAATACTCATAAAAAGCTTTGTAGAGGTTGTAGGATTTTATCTATCTTTTGAACCTTGGAAAATATTTCAATTATTTTACAGAAAAATAAGATAGGTCCATGGAGTGTTAACAAACATGAAACAAAAGAATCTTACAGAGCAGATATAGAGATAAGAAGTCAAGAAAGAGCAAAAAAAGAAGTTCAGATAAAACTAATAGAAACTAATTTTGGATAGTTAGAACATGATCAGATTATAGAAATACTAAAAAAATACTAGATGTAAAGGTTTTATTTTGTTTTTTAATAAAAGCGTGTTTTAATTAAACTTGGTTAGCAATATTATGAAGACATGACTAGTGCAGAGACACCTAGTAGGAAGATGAAACAGATGGGGAGCTTTCGAGTCTTCTACACATGACACAGTAATGTTAGAAAAACTCAGACTGCCTCAGATAGGACAGAGTTCATTTCCAATTTTGTTCCAACATTGTGTTACCATGGGAAACTTAATTTCACTAAGCCTCAGCTTTCTCACAAACAAAATGAGTAAAAAATACTTAAGTGATGAAGTTTCTTGGAATTATATGTTGTTATTATTTTCACAGCCACCTCCACTCTGAAAAGAAATTACATGTCTTATTATATTAGGATATGATATGCACAAATGCTCAAGAAATGCTACAAAGGCATATGTGATGAAGTGGACAGAGGACAATCATTCACACCCCATATGTCTGAAATTAGATTATTTGAAGTGCATAGCTTAAAGATGTTTATTCATGTACTACAATTATCAGTCATTTACAATATGCTAAATATTCTGCAAGTACATTTTGACATAAAAAATTCATTGAAACAATCTAGAGTCTATGAAAAATACATTAGTAATCGCTTGGAATATATATTTCATGTGGGGATGCAGGGAAATAAAAGAAACAAAACCCTGAATGGACAGAGTAAAAAAAAATCCATACCTAGACATATAGTAGGAAAATCTCATAATAATTCATATATCTTGTTTTCCATTTTTTGACTTTCTACTTTGTGTGCTTTCCTTGTAAACAGCATAAGCTTATAGACACTGTATTATAATGGATAAAGGTATATATAGACTTTAAAACTAGAATGACAGGATTTGAATTCTAACTTCCCTGCCTTGTATAACTTAACTTTTTTTCAGTTTTCTCTTTATAAATTTAGACATATATTAATATAACCCAGTGTACTGAAATATCAAGTTAAAAACATATTATTGTCTTGTATAATACTAAGGCAGAACTCTAGTGTAAGCTATGAACTTTGAATGGTGTTGAGACATGCCAATGTAGGTTCATCAGTTATAATAAATGTAACACTCTAGTGGGGAATGCTCATAGTGTGGGAGGCTGCACATGTGTGAGAATAGTAAAAATATGGGAACTCTCGTATTTCTGTTCAATTTTGTTATAAAACTGAAACTGTTCTAAATATAAAGTCTCCTAAATTATCTAGCACTACAAAAATATGATTATCTCAATAGATGCAGAATGAATGCAACATGATTCAAAATCTATTCGGATTAAAATTTTAAAACTCAATCTGATAAAATAATCATTAAAAAGCCATAATGAATATCACACATTATGGTAAAATATAAGAATTGTACTATTTAAAATCAGGAATGAGAGCAGAATGTCTATTGGTTTAGTCTGTTCAAGCTGCTATAACAAAATATCATAAATTAAGTAGCTTATAAATATCAGAAATTTATTTCTCACAGTTCTGGAGACAAGAAAGTTCATGATCAATGTATTGACAGATTCAGCATCTGGTGAGGGCTCACTTCCTGGTTCACAGGCTGTCAGCCCTTCCTTTCCACTCTTCCACTGTATTGAACAGTAGCTCCAGGCTTCTGGTTGAGATAGCTGACTATTCTCTTTATTTGGTGATTTGGCCATACCCTTAGTGGTCTCTTCAAACCTTGCTTTCACATTTTTTTTTAACAAGATAGATAAGCTGAGAACTTTTCAAATCTTTAAGTTCGAATTCCTATTTGATTAACAATTTCATCTTCATGTCATTTCTCTCTTCTCCCATTTTACTCTATGTAAGTCAGGAGAAGCCAGGCCACTCCTACAATTCTCTGCTTAGAGTTTGCTTCAGCTGAATATCCAATTTCATAGCTCACACCATTTACTTTATGCCAAGTTCTTTGACACTTTATAACAGGGATACCCTTTCATCCAGTTTTCAATAACATGTTCCTCATTTATGTTTGGGACCTCTTCAGGTGACCTTTGCCATCCATATTTTTATCAACAATTTGTTCAGAATTACTTAAGTATTCTTTAAGAAGGCTGACACTTTCTCTACAGTATTCTTCTTTTCTCTCTGAGCCCTCACCAGAATCACCTTTAAATGTTTGCTCATAGCAATGCAGGCCTTTTGTAGCAAGCATTTTAAACCTCTTCCATCCTCTGCTCATCACCCAGTTCCAAGGCATTTCCACATTTTTAGGTATTCTTTTTAACGTCAACACCCTCACCTCTTAGTATCAATTTATGTCTTACTCTGTTTAGGCTGTTATAACAGAATACCATAAACTGGGCGACTTATAAACAATAGAAATGCATTTCTCACCTTTCTAGAGTATGAGAAGTCCAAAATGAAAGCACTGGCAGATTTGGTGACTGGTGAAGGCCCACTTCCTCGTTCACACACAGCTGTCTTTTCACTGAGTCTCCACAGTGCAAAAAGAATGAGAGAAAAAAAAAAAATATATATATATATATATATATATATATGCAGTTATGCCTCCTGGCAAGCTCCTCATAAGTTGAAGATGTTTTGAATAGGAAATACATGTAATATTCCTGAGCTACAGAACATCATAGCTTAGCTTAGCCTACCTTAATAGTGCTCAGAACATTTACATTAGCTCACATTTGAGCAAAGTAATCTAACACCAAGCCATTTTATTATAAAGTTGAATACCTCTTGTAATTTATTGATTACTGTACTGAAAATGAAAAACAGAATTATTGCATTGGTACTCAAAGAGTGGTTTCAACTGAATATGCACCACTTCGGCACCCTTGTAAACTCAAAAAAGGCAAGGGGAACAATAGTACATTGGAGACCAGCTATACAATTAGAAGTCAGTGGGTTTTGGCCTGGCACAGTGGCTCACACCTGTAATCCCAGCATTTAGAAAGGCCAAGGCAGGGGAATCACTTGAGGCCAGGAGTTCAAGACCAGCCTGGCCAACATAGCAAAACCCTGTCTCTACTAAAAATAAAAAAAATTAGTGGGCGTTGTGGTGCACACCTATAATTTCAGCTACTTAGGAGGCTGAGGCACACATGAGAGTTGCCTGAACCCGGGAGGGGGAGGTTGCAGTGAGCCAAGATTGAGATCACATCACTGCACTCCAGCCTGGGTGACAGATTCTGTCCCAAAAAAAAAAAAAAGTCAGTGAATTTTATCATTTATAATTCAGATGGATTCAGAAAGAGGCCTAATGTATGTTTCATAAATATACATTTACAATTTAAAAAACTGTGACAAAACAGCATTTTTATTTGAAAAACATATCATGAATCAAAATGATAAGAAGGATTTAAAAACATGAGGGTCATGCCTAGCTCTCATAATTACTTGTGATATTTAAAACAGCAAACATTTTGCCTTTCTATATTTCTAAAATATAATTGTTCTAATTTAGTAATTTTAAGGAATTATTGATA
Source organism: Homo sapiens (assembly GCF_000001405.40). NCBI lineage: Eukaryota > Metazoa > Chordata > Mammalia > Primates > Hominidae > Homo > Homo sapiens. The sequence continues at coordinate 116,373,954 of NC_000004.12, read as the reverse complement.
TAATTGTTTCTCATTATCCATGGATTCCACATCCATAGATTCAATTAACCATGAATAGAAAGTATTCAAAGAAAAAGTGAATCTGTACTAAACATGTACAGGCTTTTTTTTTTTTGGTCTTTATTCCCTAAACAGTATAACGTAACAACAATTTATATTGCATTTACATTGTGTTAGGTATTATATGTAATCCAGAGATGATTTAAGTATATGAGAGGATGTGCACAAGTTATATGCAAATATTACACAATTTATATAAAGGGACTTGAACATCTGTGGATTTTGGTATCCACAGAAAATCCTTGAACCAATCAATCCCCCGTGGATACCAAGGGATTACTGTACTTAATAAATTATATGTTAATTAAAACTTTGTAGTAACCATTATAAAATATTATTTCTCCAATAGTAAAATATTAGCATATTAAAAATAACCCTACAATGACATCCACCTACCGTATTCAATATATGCTTTGAGGGCATGGAAACTAATTCATTATAAGCATGGAAAGAGAATTTCAATGTCTTATCCATTTGTTTTTCTTCTATTTGTATTTATTATAAATAAGGTTGATGTATTGCTTGCAGCTACTATTAATATTAAATATTTGATGGATTACATTAAGCTAACCCTCTCTGAATCCAATCATTCTTCTTCTGAGCAGTGTAGAAATGACTTACACTTTATTAGAGACAAAACAAAAGACAGGATGTAATTTGAGTGCAATTTTAAGGAAAAAAGTTCTACTTGTGGATCAAAATGTATACCTTTATTTTTCTCTTAAAGATTTTATTGGCTATTTATTGCTGTGCTTGAACTTAATATTTTATATTAATAGATATAGATGTTGAGGGGGCATACATTTAATGGGTATGTCTGTGAGAAGCAGTGGTTAATTATCTAGTTGAAGGTCTGTATATTTATACATGTTTTATCAAAATGTTTTATGTTCTATGAAGCATTTTCTTTCTGATTTCTGAAGAACTATACTCTGAACTACATTTTTAAATGAAACAAATTTAGAAGAGTTTCAAAACAGAAGAAAATGGAATTGGCTATATTATTATCAGACAAAAAAATAAGGATAAATATTTAATAGTGTTTTCAAAACCACTTTCTTGAGGTATGATTGGCATACAAAATACTGTGCATACTTAATAAGTATAACTTTATGAGTTTGGAGTTAATTATACAACCATAAGCCTGCAATCTATTGGAATAAAGCCAGTGATGATAAGAAATCACATCCCTTTTATTAAATCATATGTTAAGAACTTAAAAGTGAATAACAGGGTTTTCAGTTCTGGGCAAAAATTGATATAAATATACTTTAGCTGTCCCATTCAATGAATAAAACCATACAAAATTATTCAAAAGAAATATAGCAGCTATTTGAGAACTTTGAAAGTAGATAGCAGGTAGTAAATCACTAAAGAACACCGTGACTTAAAGCACCATTGAACGTGTAGTGATTTACCATTATTTTCCTCTCTGTATCCCTCAGCCTCAATTTAATGCAGTCAGAAATTTAGAAGTGACAGCAGTGGCACAAACAGACACCATGAAATCTCCTTAAGTTTTTCTTCTCTTTTCTCCCTTCTTTGAAAAAATAAGAAACTCTATATATAATTTTAAAATAAATGAATAAATTAATGAATTAATGAATGAATACATAAATAAATTTTTGGAAGGTGACCTAAAACATTAGATAGATACATAGATAAATATCTCAAAATGAATTGCTTACTTATACCTAAGCAATAAATAGTTAGCAATAGGAATGGGGGAATAATGCATTTAAAATAGTGTAAAAGTGTATAATAAGGACATAAAGGTATTTGATAAGAATGGAATGAGATATATAAGAAAAACACAAAATGACATAAAATTTATAAAATATTTTATGAAAATGTAGAAAGTATGCCATGCTATTAAGTGGAAAATTTAGTATCATCAGAATAAAAATTATTCAAAAATTATCTCTACAAATACTTTTATTTCAACATAATACTTTTAAAATGTTTTCAGCTAAATTAGCTAAAAATAAACATAAAAATGTATCACAGAAAAGGAAAATTTGCTCAGAACATACAAGTCATGGATATCAATTTAACATCATTTTGATGTGAAAACATTAATTCAACAGATACAACAAAGTTAAGAATCCAGAAATAAATACTACAGTAGATTACTCTAAATCGCAAGTTTTTCCATTAACATTACATCATGGGATTTACTTCAGGTTTGTATCTACAGACCACTTTATAATTACATCATAAAATGCCACACTATGGGTGTGTATTTTCATGGCTATAAATATTTCCAGAACACACACCTTGAAGAATTTTGTAGCACTTATGTTTCTACCAAAAGTGCTTTCTTTGAAGAAGTTGGAATCTAGAGCCAGAACTTCTAAATTCAAATCACAGCTCTCCCATATACTTGTTATGCAAACTGGAAGAAATTATTTTATCTATTTGTGCCCCAGTTTTATCATCTATAAATAGTAATGCCTAACTTTTGTTGGGACGCTTCAAGGACTAAATGACTTAATATTTATCAAGCATTTAAGAAAGTGTCTGAAACATAAAAACATTGTGTAAAGGAAAACTACATTAAGAAATGATGACATGACAAGGATGAAACAACTTATAATATGAGAAAAATCAAAATCAAAATAATGTACATATTAAAATTACAGGTTTGAGAATATAATACAAACCCCAACAATAACTACATAATTTGTGTATTTTACAAAAATAGTAGGAGGATGTCCCTTAAATTGACAACAATGCAAGTGTTTTTTTCTGTTTTATTTGTTTATTTGTTTTAGTGGGAAGAATGAGATTTTTAATCTGTAGGCATCACATTACCTGATTTCCAACTATATCATAAGGCCATAGTCACCAAAACAGCATGGTACTGGTATAAAAATAGGCACATAGACCAATGGAACAGAGTACAAAACCCAGAAACAAACCCAAATACTTAACAGCCAACTATCTTTAACAAAGCAAACAAAAAGATAAAGTGGGGAAAGGACACCTTATTAAACAAATGGTGCTGAGATAATTGGCAATTCATACGTTAGAAAATGAAACTGGATCCTCATCTCTCACTTTATACAAAAATCAACTCAAGATGGATCAAGGACTTAAATCTAAGGCCTCACCCTATAAAAATTCTAAAAGATAACATTGGAAAAATCCTTCTATACATTGGTTTAGACAAGGAATGCATGACCAAGAACCCAAAAACAAATGCAATAAAAACAAAAATAAATACAATGGGACTTAATTAAACTAAAGAGGTTTTGCATGGCAAAAGGAACAGTCAGCTGAGTAAACAGACAACCCAGAGAGTGGGAGAAAATCTCCACAATCTATATATCTGACAAAGGACTAATATCCAGAATCTACAATAAACTCAAACAAATTAGCAAGAAAAAAAACAAACAATCCTATAAAAAAGTGGACTAAAGACATGAATAGACAATTCTCAAAAGAAGATATACAAATGCCCACCAAACACAGGAAAATATGCTCAACATCGCTAATGATCAGGGAAATGCAAATGAAAACCACAGTGTGATATCACCTTACTCCTGCAAGAATGGCCATAATCAAAAAATGATAAAATAATAGACGTTGGTATGGATGTGGTGAACAAGGAACACTTCTACAATGCTGGTGGGAATGTAAACTAGTACAACCACTATGGAAAGCAGTGTGGAGATTCCTTAAAGAACTGAAAGTAGAACTACTATTTGATCTAACAATCCCACTACTGCTAATGCCTATCTACCCAGAGGAAAAGAAGTTATACACTTGCACATGCATTTTTTGTATATATATATATATATATACACACACACACACACACACACACACACACACATGCACAATGGAATACTACTCAGTCATAAAAAGGAATGAATTAATGGCATTTGCAGCAACCTGGATGAGATTGGAGACTATTATTCTAAGTGAAGTGACTCAGGAATGGAAAACCAAACATCATATGTTCTCACTCATAAGTGGGAGCTAAGCTATGAGGACAATAAGAATAACACAATGGACTCTGGAGACTCAGAGGGAAAGAGTATGAAGGGGGTGAGGGATAAAATAATACAAATTGGATGCAGTGAATCCTGCTAGGTGATGGGTGCACCAGAATCTCACAAATCACCACTAAAGAACTTATTCGTGTAAACAAACACTGCCTGTTCCCCTATAACCTATAGAAATAATTTTTTTAAGTATGAAGGGTAAATATTAAAATTTGTCTTTATTGATCATTGGCATATGTTTTTGTTTTAAGTTAGCAATTAGTTTTACAATATTTGAAGTATTTTATGCTACAATTTGAGATTATTTGTATTGCCATTTTGTGTTGTTTACATTAATGAGTATTAATTGTTTATATGTGAAAATGAGACAATATTTTAAATTTACCCACACTAAACATGTAATTTTGGATATATTCTAATTTATTCCCTTGCTTTTCTTAAAGCATTGCTTTGAAAACATTTATCTTTACTACTATAAGTTTGTTAATTATTCAACTCAAAAATTTATTTTGCATATTAAAAATATATTCAGGTAATTTAGCAGTATATCTTTGTTGATGATGCTTCTAAATGTTTTGTATTTAATTTCACCAGTGCATGAGATATAAAGCCTTATTCCTACCTTGGGTATGAGAGGGCCAATTGGTTTTTTAAAAATTTGTAATGCAATTTTATTTACTAGATAGCAATTATTTAAAAATTTCTGACAGGGTATTTATTGCTCCTCTTTAACTTCCTGTATAATGTACGAAGAAAATCTTACACTGAAGCAATATTAATTTATTTACAGAAAAATACATTGGAAAACAATCTTCAGGCTAGTTTAAATTAGCTTATGTATTTTCAAGAAATAGTTTTCTTGTCTTTCAAGTTATGCTTCAGTTTGGTAATTTATCCATTTAACAAATTTGTCAAAGCCAGTAGAGGACTAACCCTTTTTTTAAGAATCTAGGGCATGGGCTATCTTAATAGATTTTTTTTATATTGTATTCTACTCCAGTATTTTCCCTTAATACTGCTATGGAGAATATGCTGCTATGGAAACAGTTCTTAGCATTTCCTCTTCACATTGATTTATTTGCTTTATACTTATATTTTCTTGTCATTATTTCTCAAGTTAGTTCACAGTTTTTGGCCATTGAAAATGGGAGTAAATGTTTGAAAATCTTCATATTTTTATACATTTATATTAAGTACATATTGAGAAATTAGACATTTCTAAATACAGACTACTTCCAGCACTAGTATTAGAAGCTTAATCAATGAACATGCTGGGAAATTAAATGTTACAGTTTAATTTATTGCAGTCAGTGACAAATGGCTTCCTAATTCAGTCCTTACGTAATTGTCTTTATTGTTACTTTGTTAATATGCTGTGGCATAATTTAGTTATCTTGTTTTCTTTTTTTTAAGACAGTATCTCACTCTGTTGCCCAGGCTGGAGCGCAGAGGTGTGATCATAGCTCACTGTAGTCTGTAACTCCTGAGCTCAAGCAGTCTTGCCACCTCAGCCTCCAGGCACTGTCATCACTCCCAGCTATTTTTTTTGTTTGTTTTGTAATTTTTAGTAGAGACAAGGTCTTGCTATGGTTCCCAGGCTGGTCTCAAACTCTTGAGCTCAAACAATCTTTCTGTCACAGCCTCTGAAAGTCTTAGGATCACAGGCATGAGCCACTATGCCAGGCCAATTTATCTTTCTTATGAGTAAAAAGTAAAATCATTTAGTAATGAAACTAGGTTTGCTTTTTATTACTTGAACCATTTACAAGTAATGATGTCTTAAAAATTATATATCTTATTCTCAATCATAAAATTATGCTATTTTGTCATAAAAGTGATACATTTCCTTAAAGAAGCATCCAAATCATGACTATATTCCAATATGTATCCCTTGAACAAACAAGTGAAAAGATCTATCTATATACCTGGCATAAATAAATACTCACTCTTTATTAAATGAGGTTATTTTCTGCTACTTAGTCACCATGAATCAAGTTTTCAACATACAATTCATGCATTCAGGATCCAAATGAATCTTTTTAAAGCGGTATCATTACAAATCAAATAATTAGCAAAACGAAATAAATGTATGTAACACAGTATTTCAAGTCTTATCAGAAATCTCTGGCATTTTTTTACCTATGTACCACGCATATGCCAAAAATCTGTTTCTTACAATGCAGTTCACCAGTTTAATTCTTTGTAAAGCTTTTTCTGTTTGACTGTCCATGTGATGCTTACCCAGTGTATAACTTTGATAATATGTTGTATCCAAAAATATCAGTGATTTTAAAAAGTGTTGCTAGCTGGGCACAGTGGCTCATGTCTGTAATCCCAGCACTTTGGGAGGCCGAGGCGGGTGGATCATGAGGTAAGGAGTTCAAGACCAGCCTGGCCAGCATGGTGAAACCCTGTCTCTACTAAGAATACAAAAAATTAACTGGGCATGGAGGTGTGTGCCTGTAATCCCAGCTACTCAGGAGGCTGAGGCGGGAGAATTGTTTGAACCTGGGAGGTGGAAGTTGCAGTGAGCTGAGATCGTGCCACTGCACTCCGGCCTGGGGGACAGACAAGAGTGAGACTCCGTCTCAAATAAAAAAGAAAAAGAAAAAAAAAGTGTTGCTAGTAACTCAATCTCTTTGCCAAACTCTCATACGTACAATGAATTTTATAGCTAAATTTATATGTCACATAACAGAGCTCCAAAATATATAAAGTAAAAATTACTATTAATCACACAAGAAATACTTGAAAGAAACAATTGTAATAAGAAACTTTACATATTGCTATGATTTTAAGAAAGGTTACTTATAACTAAGATTGTTTTCTTTTATACTTACACGTATAGCTCACCCATAACTGACTTTACATTTCACTAAGACAATTTTATACAGTTGAGGGAATCTAATTTCCTTATGCTTAAGATTTCATAACCTGAGAAAAGGTTAAATGTCATTTTAATTTACATAGGATCATTGTATTCCTATTTTCTAGTGGTCAGCTATGAAGGCATTGAAGCCATCCCCTACTCCTGCCTGATTCTGCTCTATTTTACTGCTATGTTGTATCTTTCTTATTTAAAGAAAATCTTTTTAATTTCAGCTTTAAGCTACACAGACTACACTGCATTATTTGTAATACATTTCTACTGTCACTCAGAAAGACTATTGAGATATTCAGTAAAATAGAGTTTCTTTTAAAGTCAGATTTACAGTAATATAAATACAAATTACTAAGTTCATTAAAAGTAATCACTGGTATAGTTTTATAAGGAAGTTGAAAAGCTAACAACATTTCAAAATTAAGCATTTCTAGTTATTAGTTCAGTTGCTTCAAGAAGCACATGGCAAATAAAGGTCAATATTTTCACTAATGAACAGCCTTCAAAAGCTAGAGAGTAATAATTTTTAAAATATATTCTTAGGATGTTCTGCTCTACAAGCAAATTTATGATGAAATAAACATAAAAACAATAAAGTAAAATATTCAAAAATAAACTTTGGTCTAATACATTTTCTTGGTTTTGAGACTCTGAAATTTTTCTGTGTGAAGAAATCACAGGACAAAAAAACCTTTTTCTGGGGGTATAGTGCAGAATAATCACTTAGTAATGTTCTTTTAAGTTGAGATTTATTTATTCCTTTGTGCAGTAAGGATACACGAGTAAGGGCAAAGCCTCAAAATTGGGACCAAGAAAATAGAGATAAAGGAGAGAGCACTGCTCTCAGGAAACGAAGGCACAGGCCATCCTAGGATCCTAAGACTGGACCAGTACCCCTGGGACTAAGAAGGGAGGGCAGTATCATCTTGGCACTCAGGTATCCAGACACTCCAAGCTCCATACAAGCTAGGGCAGTAAGACTAATTTAACAACCCACCTCTTGGTGACTTTTTGGACCTTGAATGTTGTCTGCCTTCATGAGGGTGAATTCAGGACCGAGAAAGTGAGAGCCTATGCTGAAGCAGGTTTGAGGGCAGTACAGAAGCAAGGATTCACACAAACCAAACACATTTTCTCTTTTCCACTATTAAAACCCCTTGGTTTCAGAGTAGATTGCTTTACTTTAAATTTATTGTAATGTATCTTTTCATTGAGACAATAGAACACATGCCATCTTAGCATTTTTCTTTCCTTAGAAACAAATGCTATACTAAAAAATAGTTTTGTTCAAAATCAGCAATGCTTATAGCTTTAATTTTAGGATTCTTTACATTTACATCTTAAGCGTAATAACACATCTATATGTATCACAGTTTTCAGCTTTAAAGAAATATTTTGTATCTATGGATAGAACCTCAAAAATGTCCTAAGAGACTTACAATTTTATTTTCCTACTTGACAGAAGAATACCAGCATCATGACTAATCAATTAAGATATAGTACACTTCCATTCACCTTAATGTCATGGTCAAGACATATATATAATATGCTTTGTTGGTATGAAAAAGATAAACAATTGTCTTCTATAGATAAGGAAAGTGAGGAACTAGAGCTTAAGGCTTTTACCCAAAGTACACTTCCGGTAAATGTCAGAATTGTCATTAGACTCTGCTGTGTTTACTGCTACACTACCCAAAGTCTCTATTCTAAGTCTCAGTTTCTTTTCCTGTAAAATGAGGAAAAATAGTACCTACGTAATAAAGTTTAGTGAAAGTTAAATAATAAGTAGTGTATTTGGAAAAGTATTTCATAAACGTCAACTACCATTAATATTAGTGTTAATAATATGCTATGTTTTCACTAATACTAAAGAGATTACCCTTAAAACAAAAGTACAATGGTTGGAAAAAACACATTAGGCAATCAATGGTACGTTTGCATGAGGGCTTATCAAACGCATGGGATAACTTTTTTATGAATAAGCATAAATAATTTGTTTTTTCACATATATCATTTAATTGAAGAGATAATGCTCATTGGTTAAACAACAACTCTACCAGCACATTGTTCATGATCATATCAAAGGTTTTTGCAAATGCTCCAATGATATTTAGAAAAATAATTAAGACTGGAAGAAAAACACATACTGTTTCATATATTTGACTAATATTAAACTAATCTTTTTTTTCCTTTATTTTTAACAGCTTCATTTAGGCATAATTGATATACAGAGAGCTGCATATACTTAAAGTGTACAGGGCATAAAGTTTCAGTTATGTTATTTCTAGAAATGAACTTTACAACGTAGAGCCTATAGTTAACAATATGATACTTTGCACTTATTAAATTTATTAAGAGGGCAGATTTTATGTTAAGTGTTCTTTTCACAGAAAATTTTAAACTAATCTTATGTAATAGTCTATATAATTGCATATGTCTGAAGGTTACTTTTGAGGTGATCAGCTCTGAATACACTGATGCTACTTTTGAGAAACTAAAGTCTATCCTGCAACACATTTTCAGTAATGTTTCCAAACAAGACAAACAAACTAGGACCTGATCATTACATGTCCTCATCATTACGAGAAGATATTATTATATGATAAGGATAGAAATATTGATATGTTGATATAAATAGTATATCTATTATTTCTAAAACCACTTTTGAAATTAATTGTAATTAATATTTATGTGCTTTTAAAACTACTTTTGAAAGTAAATGAATATCTTTTAGGATGAAGAACGAGGTCACATCCTTTGCAGGAATATGGATGGAGCTGGAGGCCATTATCCATTGCAAACTAATGCAGAAACAGAACACTTAAGACCGAATGTCCTCACTTGTAAGTGGAAGCTAAATGAGAACACATGGATGACAGAATGGAACAACACACACTAGGGCCTGTCTGAGGGTGGAAGGTGGGAGGAGGAAAAGGATTAGGAAAAATAACTAATGGGTACTAGGCTCAATAACTGGGTGATACAATAATCTGTACCACAAATTTCCATGAGACAAGTTTACCTATGTAACAAACCTGCACATACACCCTGGAACTTAAAGTTAAAATAATAAAAATAGTTTAAAATATTGGAGAAAAAAAAGCATGAAAACTTGTTCATAATGTTGTTAAGCTTCCTTTGATTGCCGTTACCAATGATATATAAGATACAGCTATATTATTGCTGGACTGAGTCTGCTCTATGCTTATCTCTATGGATACCTTAAATTCTCTTGGTTAAGATAAGGCCAGGCTGGGCACGGTGGCTCACGCCTATAATCCCAGCACTTTGGAGGGCCAAGACAGGTGAATAGCTTGAGCCCAGGAATTCGAGACCAGACTGGGCAACATGTTGAAACCCTATCTCTACAAAAAAACACACAAAAAAATTTATCTGGGCTTGGTTGTGCATGCCTGGAGTCACGGCTACTCAGAAGGCTGAGGCAGATGGATGGATTGAGCCTGGGAGATCGAGGCTGCAATGAGCAGTGATCATGCCACTGTACTGCACAGAAGCCTGGGTGACAGCAAGATCCTGTAAAAAATAAAAATAAAAAATAATAAGGCTAAATATAAAGTAATAAAGTTGCTGGGGTATTCTGGACCAGCTGGATTAGGGATGTGTACATTGATGACTTACACCTGGTGCAACTGAGCCTGGTTTGGCTACCTGACCAGTGGGACCTAAAACACCTTGATAGGAACTTTTGCCCATGTTCCCCTGAACTCAAGATACTTTGCAGAGGATTTGCAACCACAAAATTAATACATTCTAGACCACTAAGAAAGAAGCGGAAGGAGCAGCCACTGGATGTCTTTTGGGTCCTCATGCTTGCCTGCACTTTCTTTCTCCTGCTCTTTGGTATTAATTACATTAAGGCCTTACAGGAGTGCAAACTGTGAGTCCTTTTAAGTCCCTTTAATTATTCAAACTTGTGAAATTGTTGCAATTTAGTTCTCCAATTATCTGCTACCTCGAAACCAAAGGGGATACATATCTTTTGCAGAGGAAAGAAAATTGAGGTTGTGAGTGGTTATAGGAAGGTTTAAAAAGCAAGGGTTGTGTCAGCCTTTGGAATCCTACCAAATTCATTGCACTCCCCAGCCTTCCATTTAGAGTCTTATTTTATTTTCTTGCCCTACTTTTCTATTGCCTACTGGAACTATAATTTATCCAAGATAATTCACTTAGGGAAGACATTCCTCTTTGATGCCTGGTTATTCATGGCTTATTTTGTCTTAATCTACTTTTTTTCTTTTTCTAATGAAATTTTCCAGCCCATTACCTAGCTGATTGCTGTGGAAGGTAAACTGCTATAGCCTCTATGGTAAATAATTTGGCATTTTCTTAAAATGTTAAACTTATTGCTATTCTGAGATTCAGCAGTTTGACTGCTATGTGTTTACTTAGGAGATTTTTAAAAACCTACATTCATAAAAGACCTGTATATATTCATAACAATCTTACCTATATTAACCTCAAATTGGAAGCAATCCAAATGTTCATGAACAGGGTTACAGATAAACAAATTGTAATGTACTTACACAATGAGATGCTTCTCAACAATTAAAATGTGCTGGTAAATGCAATAGGTAAATGAGTGAGAGAAGTCAGCCACCCAAGATTACATATTATGTTATTCCATTTACCAAGTTCTTGATTAGTTATAATTAATCTATGGTGAGAGATACAGTGAAAAAAACACCCAGATTAGAATATAGGGAAATCTGCCTGGAAATAAACACTGGGTGTCACTCCAAGTGTCAGGCTCCAGCCCAAGCTGAGGACTGAGGGAAGTGGGTGGACAAGTGACAGGCAGCTGAAAGAACACTCAAGCAATCATAGGGAGTTTTGACATGGCTTTATTCTCTCTCTGGGCACAAGCAAGCCAGCCATATGTACAGCATCAGTAGGGTAGCTGTACCTTTTACAGACAATAGTGACTCTGAGCCAAGCATGAGCTCATGTGAGTGGTTACCTAATGCACCTCAGATGGTATGGTTACATAATGTGCCTCATGTGGCATGGTTACATAAAGAGCAGAGTCGTGTGCCTGTGTTCCGAACCCGCTGAGACATGCTGCACTGGAAGGCTGCCTTGGCAGACTCCTGACTAAAGCACAGCCATTTCCCTTATACTCCACCACCTCAGCTGAGGGCATCCTCCAGGCAGGGACATGTGCCCATAAGGCAGAGCCCCGAATTCATAACCCACAACAACAACACAGAGAGCAACAGCTCACTACTAGGATCCCAGCTATGCTACTTGTGACTATTAGGGCCCAGCAAGAGCCAGAGCCTAGAGATGCCCACCATCTCTGCAGGGGGTAATCTTGCAGATTAAGGCTTTTGACCACCTTAATCTCCTGTGAGACCCTTTGCAGGGCTGCTGTTATGTTCTGCCCATTGTCAGGAATAAAGGTGCAACATTGTGTTCCTAAAAGGGCACAGGTGCCTCCTTGGGCAGCAGTTACTATGTGTAAGGCCATTCAGTTTTGTAACACCATTTTTCTCATCTGATCAACCTCATCCATTAACAGCAAGAGGGCTACTTAGGTGTAATTCAGAGCCCAAGCGGTGTGCTCTGCAAGAGAGGTAACTTGTGCTTCTACAGTTAGGACACCGGCTCCAGGGATAGTCATTTCTAAGGGGTAGAACCACCAGGGGGCTCATCACACTTGCAAAAACCAAGAGCGTACCACCTCCCAGTTATGTGAGTGTCTGGGCAATGTGGGGAGAACAGTGGCACGTACATAAGACCACCCCCATGTACAACAGCCAGTCCAGTTCACTGGTAAGACCACCCTGTGTACCCACAGACTCATAAACTCCCAGGGGGCACAAAGTCCATCAGAGCCTGACCGTGGTGGGGCTGCTTGCTATACCATACCTTCAGTGTGGTGACATGTGTTATGTTTGCACAGGTCGTAAGGGGCATCCATCCCACAGTGGCGGTACCCTAATGCTGTTCTATGCACCATGTTGCTTGGGTCAGGGGTACTACATGTTCCCCCACTAGCCAGTCCCACCCATCATAAACACTATGGGCCAGCCAGGAGGTGGGTGTACCATGGGTCTTGCAGTGTCCTTTGTCCAAGGCTAGCCATGTTGCGTTCCAGGCATCGGTCATGGGACCCCAAATCTCCAGCCATGTTCAGTTCTCTGCAGACCCTGAATGTATGTGCTGAGGCAAGCCATCTGCAGCTGCTGCTGGAAGGGCAATGCAGATCCAACTGTTGGAAACATTGGTTACCTCAGTGTAGTCGAGGGCCCAGCCCACAATGCAATCGGAGCATGTTAACCAATGGTCAAAATGACAGAGCAGGCACAGGTACTAACAGAGGTAAATCACATCCCTCAGGCAAAATACAGGCTAACCTTTCATCCTGGATAAGAATGCAGCCACCAAAGGTTTCTGCACTGGGCGATGGTAGCACATTTTCTCGGCTCCCCATGATTACTTTGGGTCCTGTATATATGCCAAAGTCACAGGAAAGCTCATAATAGGACATGCAGACAGTACATATGTCCCCTGGAGAAGGGTTCCCCCCCGACTGTTCCCCTATGAACAGTCAACTGTGAGGGACATGTATTGAACACCCAAGGAGTTTCATGCAAGTCATACTGTAGGCCCTCTACCCAGGGAGCTTTGATGGCCAGCTACCAGGAGTGGGGGGCTTTGGTCCATGTGGTCCATGGTCACAGCCAAGTTTTCTGTTCTCTTGCCTACCATTCATCTCCACACCTGGTTGTGGGAGGTCATCCTTCCTCCCATAAGTTTTGCCACATAGCTTGGCCCCACATGGACCAGTGACCAAGTGGCCACTTCTGTATTTTCCAGGTAGGTAACCACAAGGTTAAGCCTCAAGAGACCACCCAGCTATTGGTACAGATTGTCATAGGTGTCACCTCCTTAGTGATCACCATCCACACTGATCTAACTTCAGCCCATTGGCTACTTTGCCCATACTCAGTTTCAAACCGTATGGTGTCAATATTAGGTTGGACTGCAACAGTTTTCCAGGAAGCAGTAGTATCTTGGCTAGACCCATCTGTGTACCATGACCCACTGGCAATAGGGGGGCTCCCTTCCTTAAATGGTGCTGGCTTGGGGTCTAGGGGTGCCTCAGGCCCCATGGCCTTATCTTGCATTAGGACTACAGGTCCCAAGACCTCTTGCAGCTCTGCTTCTAAGGGACTCATACTCAGAGTACTCCGCTGCTCAAAGTACGTGTCCCACTTTGCTAAGGTGGATGTCTGCGCTGTCCCAGTCCAAGGGGTCATTGCCCATGAATGCACCCATCCCACTATAGAGTATGTTGTCCGCATGACAACTGTAGCCTATCTTGTCATGCTCTCATGAGGCTGAAGGGCGGCATATACAGCTGCTGTTTCTCTGTCAAGAAATACCGGAGCTCAGCTGCTTTCCAAAGTTGGGACCAAAAATCTACTGGCATTCTAAAGGGCTCCGTGCACTGCGAGGGGCCCCAGCCAAAACCATCTGTGGTCACATGCACATGCAGCTCAAATGGGTGCCCCTGGTCAACTTCCTGTAGGGCTTGTGCCTGCTGAATAGCCCAGCTGGCTGCTAGGAAGGAGGTCCCAGCCGCACCATTCCAATCCCAGGAAAGAGGAGCATTGCCATTTCTAAATCTGCAAAATAATCAGAAGTTAACATAATATCACCCATGACATATAGAGACCATGACATATAGTGAGGCTATGCATATAGCCCTGCGGCAACACTGTGAAAGTCCATTGTCATCGTTCCATGAAGGAAAGCTATTTCTGGCTCTCTAGAGCAATGTCAATTGAGAAGAATGCATTGGCCACTATGTGGCCACTATTGTTCCACTATAGTGGTACTGTTCCAATTTCATCATAAAGTGGTCCATCAAGTCCGTGATAAATGGGTCAGCTGCCAAGCCATGTAGAATGTCCACCCATAGAATGTATCTGTGCTAGTGTCTACCAGTGCCAGCACTTGCCGTATGTTGGTGGGGGACAAGTGGATTGCTAATTTCACATGTGGCCTCCAGTCGTCCGGTGTTTTTCTAAGCTGGTCACCTTGGCCAGTTCCTTAATCAAATAGAAAAAGCTCTACACCCGCGCCCAGCTGCAGCAAATAATCTTTGAACTGGAACTCCCGGGAGGGACCTGGTCATGCAGCATTACCCTTCTCCTGAATGACTTGCACCAAGTCTGTATACGACTGCCATCTACTGACAGTTTTGAGTATTTCACCGGCATCGTTCACAGTTCCTGTGGTTGCCCATAGCCTCTCAGTCAGGGTGTGGTCACCTTGCCCTTGTTCCAGCCAGCTACTTACTTGCAGCCACTGACGAAAGAAGGGATGAGTTGTGATAGAGGCCAGCTTTTCCATCTCAGAGGTGGAACAGCATATACAATCTGCCCCCTCGTTTCACAGACAAAGCATCCAGGTGGGCAGGGGTTTCCTGGACGCTGGTAACACTGTTTCTTTAATTCCCACACCTCCCCGCGGGACCCCTTAGGGACTAAGCAGGCAATTCCTGCAGCACAGTCACAAATGCCCAACCAACTGCTGGCAAAGGCTGGCTCCTTCTCGATGCTCTGTGCTTCCAGCTGCTTCAGTGCCTTCTCCATGCTTGTGGGGGACCCACCTACCACCACCCAGGTTTCCACCAGAGCCCATCCAAGCAGCACAGATGCTTGTAAGCACAGCCTATCCAAGTACCACAATCCATGTTGTGGCCACATGGCTGACCTGGAATCAACAGGGGCCAAAGGCTCACTCACTTTGGCATCCTGTCGACTATGTCAAGTGTCACACCAAGTGTCAGATTCCAACCCAAGCTGAGGACCGAAGGGAGTGGGTAGACAAGTGGCAGACAGCTGAAAGAACACTTGAGGAATTGTAAGAAGTTTCAACATGGCTTTGTTCTCTCTCTGGGAGCAAGCAAGCCATCCGTATGTACAGCATCAGCAGGGTAGTTATACCTTTTACAGACAATAGTGGCTCCGAGCCAAGTGCGAGGTCATGTGAGTGGTTACATAATGCGCCTCACATGGAGTGGTTACATAATGTGCAGAGTTGTGCACCTGTGCTCCAAACCTGCTGAGTCATGCCACATCAGAAGCCTGCCTTGGCCTACTCCTGACTAAAGTGCAGCCATTTCCCTTACACTGGGGAACTTTAGTGATGAAATGTTCTCCATCATTCTTTGCTTTATTTTTTTCTTTTGTAAGTTTCACATTTCCATGGAATTAGCAAAATTCATCAAATAGAACACTTAGAACTGTGTGTTTTCTTTTTTGTATACTTTGAGTTTCCATTTTAGCATTTTATTTTTTATCGTATATAAATTGCACCTGAACTTTTAAAAAAATAATAAGAATGAAATAAAGCAAGCAGAGAACCAAAAGTAAGGGGTTATAGTAACCTATTTTACTTCCCACCACAACAAAAATTAAAGGAAATTAAAAGGATTTTTTTCAGTGTTACTAGATGTGGTTTGACCTATATTTGAGTGCTCTAGATTACTGAGGTTAGGAATATTTGTACTACAATTATGTAAAAAAGTGTGTATGGAGGAGACAGAATAGCCAACCAACATTTGGATGGCATCATGTTTTAATATCTTTGTTTAATATGATTCAAAGCATCATACATAATTGCAAACAATATTCCTTTTAAGGATGAAACTATCTGCAGATATATCTGTTTTAAGCAATTAGTGCACAAACCAATGTCAATTGAGAAATTTGAAATTAGGTCAACTATTTTTGTTGCTTGATTCCAAGCAACCAATTTTACTTAATTTTACATAAATTTGTTTGCTATTTGTCACACTCTACAAACATTTGCTTTTAATTCTATTATCTAGAAGAAAAAAACTAAGAATGGGAAATATTTTTAAAAAATGAAGGCTTGCTATGATTCTACAGAAAACTCCTCTCAAATTATAGATTCTTTTTGTAAAAGAAAGTCTCAAACACAGAGTAATAATAATATAGAACTATATTTCCTATAATTCACAACTAGTTGACTTGTGCTAAGTTGTATTCTTTTCACCTTCTCTAGTATTAAAGAATTCACTTCAGGATTAATTGTCTCCTCATTCCTTCTAAGAAGTTATGTTCTGAATAAAAGTGACTGCCTGGGCAGGCTGAAAGGTGGATTTTAGAAAGCTGACTCAAGGATTCTGGGAATATTTATGAAAATATGTATTCTAACATAGGAGTTAAAAGCATTCAGAGTCTCAAAAACGTTGGTTTCTATGAAAATAATATTTTTGGTAATTTTTACAGTGATATTTCATATCCACATTACTCATTCACTGCCTGTAGAAAGATCTGAGGGTATTGCTCTTTGCAATTTATCAACAGCCCAATGTTTCTGAAGACTTACAAATAATTTATTTTTCTTTACCAATTGGTAAAGCTATAGGTGAGGAAGAATAGTCAAAAGGTATTTAGGAAAAGCACTCCCATTATATACTTAAGAGATGAAACCAATCTACTCTGAGCCAAAGAAAGCAAAAAATAAATAAATAAAAGAAACACAGAAATGTTAAGCATTTCTGCAATGACTTAACATTTTTTTAAAGTCTGAGCTTTTTCATACCCTCACATCTCAAACAGAAGAATGATTTCTTCTCATAATTACTTAATAATTGAATTCTAATAGTGGTATAATATTATCCAGAACATAAGGATTAATTGTCATATAAAAGATAGCTCGCTTCACTAAATGGGCTATGTAACTAACCCAAGGTCACTCCTTATCAACATCCTTACACACATACACACATACACACACAAACACACACACTTTCACATATTCATGAACACTCTTACACACACTCATACACACGAATGTAAACACACAAGTCTCAGGAATTTCTCAAGATACTGGCCATCACTTTTTATCAGTTTATATTATTTGTAGCATACTTAATAAAAACTTAAATGTATTAGATACATTTAATAATTATTAAATAAGTGCAGGTAAAATATCTCATAATATTTTTCAATATAAAATTTGTATTAGAAACTGCATCTGGTTCCTCCAAAACTAGAACTAGTGTGCTGTTTTTTGTTGTTGCTAAATGAATATAACACAATTTTGGAATTTGCACTCCTAAGTTTATAAGCACTCCAAATTCATTTAGTGAAGTGTCGCTGTTAATAAATACATATATATTTACATACACCAACACAAAATCCAGGTCAGAAAATGCAATAGATAGGGCAGAATTTTTTAAAACACTTTATTTTTTATCTTTTTGTCCTGTGGATATTAGCCAATAACAGTTTTTAATAGATGCCATAATAGATTTTGACCTCATTTGTGTTCAATAAGTACTTGTTGAATCAATTAACAACGGTAGGAGGCAAAAACTAGTTTTGTGAAAGTTTGTTTTTGAAAGCAATATTCAGAAGTATTTTTGTGGAAGAGAAAAATATTTCACTATTCTTTTCAGCTATAAAGATCAAGCACCAGGCCGGGTGCAGTGGCTCACGCCTGTAATCCTAGCACTTTGGGAGGCCAAGGTGGGCGGATCACGAGGTCAGGAGATTGAGATCATCCTAGGTAACACGGTGAAACCCCATTTCTACTAAAAATACAAAAAATTAGCCAGACATGGTGGCGGGCCCCTGTAGTCCCAGCTACTCGGGAGGCTGAGGCAGGAGAATGGCATGAACCCGTAAGGCGGAGCTTGCAGTTAGCCGAGATCGCGCCACTGCACTCCAGCCTGGGCAACAGAGCGAGACTCCATCTCAAAATAAATAAATAAATAAACAATCAAGCACCAATTAACCACAAGCCAAGGGGTTGAAGGGAAAAAAAATGTGGTTTCTGTAACAGAGGTGGGTATAAGTATAATAAAAATGTATAAAGAGTGATTTACAATTATAACAGACCAGAGAACTTTACATCTTCATCTTAGCAAATCTCAGATTTTAATATAATTATTGATTGGCTTTTCTAATATTATTACTATTTCAGCTTGCAAGATCAATGTACACAGGATAATTATATTCAAAACACAGAACAATGCTAGAGATCACATAGTTTTAAACATCTTCAATTGTATGATATTAATCTGTAGTCTTAGGATTTCTGTCTAGACCTTTCAAGAAGACAATGAACATTTTACCCTCCTTGTACTATGGAAATTTTCAGTATTTGTTTCTAATAAAATGTTTACTAACTCAAAAAATGTCATTAGGCAGACAGAAATCCCATTTTTTTCTACATGTAACAAATATTTGAAAATCAGCAACAAAAATGTAGTTATTAATACTAATCTGAATACTAGATCATATGCCATATGTTTTCACAATAACATAAAATTGCAATTAAATATTTGATTAAAATTTAATAAAAGACACAATTATTGGCTCACTTTGCTAAATCTAAAAAAAAGAGGTTGAATAGATGCAGTTGACTTACTGTCTAAACAAAATTCTCTCAAAATTCTTGCAACATGTTTTCGAGTTAACTACAGAGAAATAGCAATAATTCATCTTGAGGAAGCAATTGACATTTAACTAACATCCTTTACATGCAAATTAAAACTTATCTGAGCAAGCTAATTGGCAGTGTTTCTAGAGTGCTTTTGTTGATTTAACTAACAACTGTAATTGAGTATTTCATGAGTTTTAGCTGTATAGAGTAACAACAAAAAGCTTTATACTGTAACCATGTTATATAATAGATACCTAGAATAATATTTTTGAATAGGCATATACTGCTCTTATCCAAATTCACAAATGATTTCACGTTATACCAAGACTGTTCATCATCTTGAACTCATATAAAGACATTAAGGCTGGAAAAACATACAAAGGTTAATTTAAAAATAACTTTACTTCTATGTGAACACTGAAGCAGTCGCTAAATGTATTTTATATTCAGAGTCTATGGAAAAGCTAATACGTTTTTGGTCAGTACTTATACAGCCAAGCTATTTAATCTATAAACACAAGACACTAGTATCTCAAAGAACGGCAACGTAGAGCTAAGACATTTTAGCCTAGAGACAGCTATTGAGACCAAAAACTTCAGCACCTATCTCCATGGGTCATTTCCATTAGAGTGGAGTTTAAATCTCCTAACCTCTCATACAGCATCAGCATCTGCAAAATAAAAGCTCCATTTTAATAATAAAGATGATGAAAAGGAGAGAAAATAAATTATTTGATGATTACATCCATAATTGAGAATTATTTGTTTTCTAAAAATGAAAATTGCCAAGAGAGCATAAACTTTCTTGAACATCTTAAAATTTTTGCTAAGTATTATGCATTTATTTTTCATTTTTTTAAACTGGGAATTTAAAACTGATCTTAACATAGTTACAATTGTTTGATATTTTTCTAAGTCTATTGTTTACGTATTATTAGAATGTCATTTTTCTGGTTGATGGCTCTTGCTTTCCTGCTAGTAAAAATGTAATTTAAAAGACTTATTCCTATTAAATTGGTACATTGATAACTTGAGTGAATTTAACTTAAATATGTAGCAGTTTTTAAACATAACCTGTTAGAATTTCAATAAGAACAAAGCATTTAAGTCAGAAACTATAAGAAATTTTTTATTTCAAAAATGGGAATCAAATGGAAATAATGTAATTCTACTGGATTTATGTTAATTATCACCTGATACTGTATAGAACATTTAATTTTTCCCACTGGAGAAGTGAAAATAAGTTGCTAATTCCCTATACACTGAATACTGATATAAAATTACATATACCAAACTGAAAATGTGTTAATCTTCAGAAATTTAGTAAGATAAGAAAAAAACACTTTAACCCAAAACTGAAAATAACAATTCATGAAAGAAATGCTTGGGCTTTTATTTATTGTAGTGGTACAAATACATATTGAAGTCATTCTCATCCCCTCAAATCTACCTAAAATAAAATATCTTTCCCACAAGATTAGATATAAACTCTTACCTTTGCGATGGAATTTTTTGTTTCAACTTGGCTAGGCTATGATGCCCAGATGTTTGGTCAAATACCAGTTTAGATGTTGCTGTGAAGGAATTTTTTAGATGTGATTAACATTTAAGTCAGTAAAGTTTGAGTAAAGCAGATTACTCTCCATAATGTGGGTGGGTCTCATCTTCATCCTTAAACTGAGGGTATTGGGGGAGAAAGCCTTCAGTCCCCTATGAAAGAAGAAATTCTGCCTCCAGATTGCCTTTGAACTCACAACACATCAATTCTCTCCTATGTCTCCATCGTTCTAACCTGGTCTGCAGATTTTATATTTGCCACCCCACATAGTCACAGGAACCAATTATTTAAAATAAGTCTCTCTCTCTCTGTACACCACCCCCTCCCCCCCCGCCCACACACACCCCTATTGGTTGTTTCCCCAGAGAACTCTAACACAGATTTCTTTAACTGTCTCATGTATTGGAAACCATTAAATAAGCATGATTTTTCTTGTGCTTTTCCTTGACTTGAAAAGCAGCAAATTCACCATTTGCTGCTCTGATAATCAACTTATAGATCGAATAATAATTGAGGCAGAGTATATCAATAAGGTAATAATTGTTAAGTTTCAATAGAACCCTGGTGATAAAATCTATATTACAACAACATGAAAAGTAAGTGATGAAATAGCAAATATAGACAAACCAATTATTAAGTCTGGCCATGATGAAGAAGAAAGACAGAGAGTAACATGGGTCAAGATAGATTAACTTTTTAAGTCTCCATTTGAAAATAATGTGAAATATATAGTGGAATGCTAACAATAGACACAATATCTGTATACTTTTTATCTAGATTTCTGAATCTTTTAGTTTCTCTTCACTTATAAATGCTTCCATTTATTTTCTTAAACAAAAGGGCATTCCCCTAAATAACTACTATGCAATTATCAAATTCAGTGAAGTTACTGCTGATAGAGAAAACTATTAACATATATAGTTCATATGCAAATTTTATGAATTATCCCAATAATGCCTTTTATTTCACTTTTTCTCCCAATCTGGAGTATAATTGATAAGCATGCATTGCATTTAGTTATGATGGAAAGCAATTTGAGTTTGTGCTCATGCTTACACAGTAAGAGGTGGTAATTTTAAATAAGATAAAATGGTGCAAGTAAAAATTAAAATTCCCTAAATTGCTAGGAGAATGATGATATCCAGCACGTGAGTGAAAGCCCAACGATAGAAAACAGATTTAGCAGTGGCAATACAAGTAAATTTATAGGTCTAATGGCAGAAAATTGGTGCCTGTTTTCTCAGTAAGTGGAAAGTGAGTTTATCTGCTGAGTATAGAGGAGAGTTTGTAGGGTCAGAAGTTTAAAGCGATTGGAAACTTTTGAAATAACTGTTGTGATAAATGAGAAAGGGAGGTGATGAAGGAAATGGAAGGTTGTTCTGCAATATTGAGGGCAAACATGAAGTTGAACACTTAAATTTATGGTGGCCACAATCTAAAGGTTGTACAATTTACTACGGCAATATTCAGGAGCCTCAGACTGGGAGAGAGGATGATCATTTGGAGTTTCCCAAGACTAGGGTTTATCCAGAAGAGTTAAAAAAAAAAACGGACGATAGGGAATATGGTTAAGTTTTTGATGACAGAGCTTGCGTGATAACACATGCAGCCTAGTAGGAACGCCAAAAAACAAAGAAGAAATTGATAAATAAGAGAAAAACAAAGCAAAACTAAAGTGTAAGCTGTAAAATAGATACAGGTAGATCAGATATAGAGTTTTTAAAAAAGAGAGAAACCAAGTTGTCCACTTCAGAATTGGAATTCTCAATAGGCCAAATAAGATATATAGTGGAGGTAATTAAATTAGAATAATTGGGTGCAAAAACAACATAATATTGCAGAGATGTGATGTAGGAATTCACGCTATTAGAAGTACAAATGTAACCATGAGAATGGATATAAAGGGAAATTCACTGAATATCATATTTTTCAGTCACTAAGTTGCCATGTACCATTGGAAATTCCACATGAATTTGAAGTCAGAACAAATGTGGTGAAATATTTAAGGGGAGAGCAAGACATCATATACGTTTTAAATTCTGTAGTAACTGGATGCATGTTTACTTAATAATGAGAAGAAGATATAGAAGGGTGATGTAGCTGGGTGGCATGTCTTAAAGAAAGAAGCAAGGCTATTTTAAAAGAGAAGGAACAGGACAGATATAAAGGCAGCATTGGAGATCAAGCATATCTGTGAGACTCCAGCTTTCAATTTTTAGTTAAAAACTGTGTACGAGAAAATTAGCCTTCCCATGAGAGTGCAAGACAGGAAGAACTTAATTGCCATTGTCACAGAAGATGAAGGAAATGTGAAAATGAGAAGTTAGGAATGAGAGTTTGTTTACCAAAGGACAGAAAGTCCAGAACATGCGGTGAAATGAATTTAGAGAGAGAAGATAGGGAGGGCTTGGTTAAGACAAAAGGAAGAACAAACAGCTATGGGCAGGAAAATACGAATATGGAAAAGACGGTAGTTGTAATTGGCAATGTGATTTTCTAAAGCATTATCACAGACAGGTGGATTAGAATTCACTTAGGCTTTTCATGAATAGCAGCAGCGCTCTGGATGGTCTGCAGTCCTAGCATATTTTACGGCCGTCTTAATTGAAGGACACCAGCCAATTCTGAAAGGAAGATCCTGATTTGGATTCACTATGTGTTTTAGATATGTTACCAGACTCCAGGTGGATCTCAGAGTTGAACACGAAGCCTGAAATTTCTGGAACCCTCTTTTTGCTGTTCCTCAGCTAATATGGATTCTGAGATTGTGGAGCTCTAGTAATTATCTATATCCAACTTTTTTTACAATATTGAAATTATTGGTTACTTTTTCCTATTCACTTGATAGTGACTTTTTAAGCATATCCTGTAATATAGATTTTTTAATTTTTTTATATTCCTAAGATCTTCAAACTAGTATGACAACAAATATTTCTACAGGAAAAGAATACAACGAAAAATAAACAAACTAGTTATATATGCAGATTCAAAATGAAAATACATACAATTAGCAAATGCCAATATTGGAGATATTGTCTGAAAAATGTATAATTTTTTCCTAATGAGTTCAAATAATATAGAACATGAACACAGAATTAAAGGGTATTAATTTTCTTAGTATTTTTTTTTTTTTTTTTTTTGAGATGGTGTCTCGCTCTGTCGCCCAGGCTGAAGTGCAGTGGCGCCATCTCAGCTCACTGCAAGCTCCGCCTCCTGGGTTCATGCCATTCGCCTGCCTCAGCCTCCCTAGTAGCTGGGACTATAGGCCCCTGCTACCACGCCTGGCTAATTTTTTTTTTTTTTTTTTTTTTTTTGTATTTTTAGTGGAGACGGGGTTTCACCGTGTTAGCCAGAATGGTCTTGATCCGATCTCGTGATCCACCCCTCTTGGCCTCCCAAAGTGCTGGGATTATAGGCGTGAGCCACCGCTCCCGGCCCTTAGTAAATTTTTAATACAATATGTGGATAGGTGCTGGAGTACTGGACTAACTAGCCATTCATAGGCCAAAAAAGAAAAAAACCTTAGCCTATGATTCACACTGAAGTCATACAGTATACAAAAGTTAATTGAATATAGATCATGGATTTAAATGCAAAATTAAAGCTACAAAACTTTTAGAAATAAACATAGGACCACATACACAAATTAATTCAAAATTATTTTTAGATTTAAATGTAAAATTATAAACTTTTAGGAAAATAATTTTTAAGAAAAGTTAAGATATGAGAACCAAAAGCAAAGTTATTATGGAAGATATTGTTAAGTTGTTCTTCATCAAAATTAAAATCTATTGATTTCCACAAGATCCTATAAAGAGATAAGCTACAGGCCAGGCGCGGTGGCTTATGCCTGTAATCCCAGCACTTTGGGAGGCCGAGGTGGGCAGATCACTTAAAGTCAGGAGTTTGAGACCAGCCTGGCCAATATGGTTAAACCATGTCTTTACTAAAATTACAAAAATAGCTGGGCATGGTGGCAGGCCCCTGATCCCAGCTACTCAGGAAACTGAGGCAGGAGAATCTTTTGAACCCGGGAGGCAGAGGTTGCAGTGACCCCAGTTGGTGCCATTGCACTCCAGCCTGGGTGACAGGGTGAAACTCCGTCTCAAAAAAAAAAAAAAAAAAAAAGAGAGAGAGGTAAGCTACAGCTTAGGATAAAATACTGGCAAACCACATGACTGAGGAAAGTCTTGTATCTAGAATATACAAATTACTTTCAAAACTCATCAATAAAACAAACAATATAATTAGAAAACGTACAAAATACACCAACAGGCTTTTTTTTTTAAAGAAAATACATACGAGAGGTAAATATATGATATTCAACATCATTAGCTACTGGGGAACTGCAAATTAGAACCATAATGACATATTGTTACGTATCTATTAGAATAACTGAAAATTTTTAAAAAGCCATATGGTAATGTCATAACACTGGCAAGCATGTAGAGTAACTGGGTACCTCATATATTGATAGTGGGGTTGTATTACAGTATAGACATTCTGGAAAATATTTGATAGTTTCTTAGTAACACATGCACTTATAAGACAGTAATTCTTCTCTTAAACATTTATCCCAGAGAAATGAAAACTCAGATTCACAGAAACACTTGCACTTTAATGTAATCAGAACCTGGACCAAGAAACAGAGTACTATCACATCCATAAGATTCTTATTTTTAACTCTGTTCTCCTACAGTGAGACATTTGATTATTATTGCTTGCTATTATATGCTTACTTAAGGAGTTCAAATGAGTATTGCTTAATCTCACTATGTGTAAACAATGTCCCATCATTTCTGTTGCCACCTCTCTATCCTCTTGGGTTCTGAATACCTATGATTGGTCTTTGAAAACCTATGCTGGGCTGTCCATATATTCCCTGCCTTTATGGAACATCCTGACTTCCACACCTCCTTCCACTCCCCGACTTCCCACCCTCTTCCCCAGCCTTGCAAACTTAGACTTTAGCATCTCACAGTGGGCAGTCACAGATGCCTCTACTTGACTTTTTATGAGCATAAATGCAGGTAACAATGAACTCTTGAGTTCCACCTTGGACCTCACTGCACCTTTAAAACATATAGTTAATCCAAACCAGGATCTTCCTTTCGGAATTGGCTGGTGTCCTTCAATTAAGAAGGTAATAATATATGTTAGGACTGCAGACCATCCAGAGCGCTGCTGCTGTTTATGAAAAGCCTAAGTGAATTCTAATCCACCTCTCTGTGATAATGCTTTAGAAAATCACATTGCCAATTTTAACTACCATCTTTTCCATATTCGTATTTTCCTGCCCATAGCTGTGTGTTCTTCCTTTTCTCTTCACCAAGTCCTCCCTATCTCCTCTCTCTAAATTCATTTCACTGCATGCTCTGGACTCTCTGTCTTTTGGCAAACAAACTCTCATTCTTAACTTCTCACTTTCACACTCCCTTCATCTTCTCATGAAAATAGCAATTAGGTTCTTCCTGTACTACACTCTCATAAAAAAATATTATTTCTCATCTACCCTTTGTAACTAAAAAAATGACAGTAGGAGTCTCAAATATGCCTGCATTCTATAAAAGCTTATGTAAACTTTTGTTAATCAAGATTACCAAAACATACTAACTAGATTTCATATGATTATTATCACATGCAAGCTTTGTTTTCCTAAATTAAATGTTTTCCCTAGTATAATTATTACAATTTTGATATTACAAAATTTAAATATTTTGGCTATATACTTTTTAGTTTTTTTCTCCCTTTAAAAGCTGAAATGTAATGAAGTACATCAAAAAGAAAAGTGAAGTTTGCTTGCTAATGTCCCACTTTTTAAAGTATACTTCCATATACATAATCAGTTTTGAATAATTTAGTGATGTATATAAGCAAAAACAAGTGCCATTCAAAATTTTGAGAAATGAGTCAAACTGACTAACACAATACAGCTATGCTAGCTGAGTAGATTGAAAGCTACATGTGTTATTAAATCAACAGTCTTTTCTCCATTAGAGAGATAAAACTGATCTTGCCTACATTTTATTGGTACATTGTGTTAGTATCTTCCAGTGTTACAGAATGTTATGCTGATATAGCTCAGAAGATAAGATGAAATATAACTGCCTTATCTCTATAAGGGATTCTCTGGCCAACTCTGGTATAAATTGGGCATGAAATGAATGTATTACTGCAAAAGTGTGGAAATAAAACCCATTATAAACTAGAAATTAACCGTTGCAATGGCAAATCATTTTGTAAGCCACAGGATTTTCTTCCTGACTGCTTTGGTTTATTCTTTTTAAAGCTTCACTGAAAAGCAATTACTTTCCTTTTTCTATTTACTTTTCTTACTTATGACTTTCATATTAATGTGTACCTTGTCCATTTGGTATATATTTGAAGAACTAATTGGTTTTTAAAGGTCTATTGATTTGGTGGCCATAGTCTGTATTTGCTTTTCACCTATCTTTTAAAAACCTATATCCTACAACTTAAACTTGTTAAAAAATAAAACACCTAATAACATAAATTAAGTAAAATTAAAATTTCATTCTCTAATGTATGAAATATGATGGGTCAATACTCTGTAACAATTAGAATGAATTTCTGGTGATTTTTACCTTGTTATTCTCAAATTCCCTTGTATCATGACCATGTGATTAATGTATGGAAAAGTAGCAAGCAAGCACGTTTGTTGTTTATTAAGTGAGTTTACATATATTTAGTAAATTTTAGTACCCATCACTTGTTGTTATAAATAAATTATAATGTCCGGAAATCAATGTATGTATGTAATTTTAAAAACATTTTAAACTATATTATATATTTTGTGACATTTGCTTCATGAAACTTGTTCTAGAGCTTTTAAATCAAACCTATTAAAATTATATAAAGAGA
Source organism: Homo sapiens (assembly GCF_000001405.40). Lineage (NCBI taxonomy): Eukaryota > Metazoa > Chordata > Mammalia > Primates > Hominidae > Homo > Homo sapiens. The sequence goes on along the minus strand of NC_000004.12, from coordinate 116,346,110 downwards.
GAGGTTCACACTCTAACACTATATATGCATCTGTGGAAAACAATCGTTGTAAAAATATATCTCCAAATAAAAATCGAAATGGACTCATTGCACTTTTTATCCAGAGTACTAACAAAAACAATACCTATGCAAATAAAACTCTAACACAAGAAGAAATGTTACAATAAATGTTGGCCTTTACAAAACAAAATGTGAGTTATTTGATGTAAAGGAAGGTAAGAAAGGCATAAAACAGCTGAGTTTTGTAAACAAGACAGAAGGAAACTATATGTAGAAGTTGCAGGTGAAGATGCAGGTGAGAGCTCTACGTGAATTACAGGTGAATTATAGTGGCACTGCAGACAGAGGACTCTGGCTCCTTGTCTTTTATTTGACTCACCACCATCATTATGAGAGAGAACTGTAAATAAGCTTTTAATGCAGAGGATGAGGTCAGGCTCAACCAAGGGGAAGATCATGGGGGTAAAAGATAATTCTACCTGGTATT